>NC_000001.11:58796259-58947774 GCF_000001405.40 Homo sapiens
TAGTGATAGTTTAAATTGTGTTTGATATATTGCAGTTACATAATGCATTTCTTAAAAATACAAAGTCCTTATCTACAGTTATAATGAGCACAGTGGTATTAACGTGGACATTTAATTAACCAGAATACTCACTATCTAGTAGGACAGGTACGAATTTACAACAGCTTGGCTTATGCTATCTGTGGTGTGACATTCTAAGCATAATCCAGAGACTGTTTAATGGCAATGTGTCTATGTTACTGCTATTTGTATGGCCATCTGCAACCCAAGGAACTGAAATCATGAAATCAGATTTTTAGACCTGGAAGGGCTCTAGTGCCCATGTAGGCATGTGCTTCCTAAGTTACAGGAATAACTGCTTTTGCCAGTTATAGTTATTCTCTCTATTGGGTGTGTCTCACATTACTGGAAAATGGTTATGGAAATCAAAACTCTGTCATTTAAATAATGAAGACACTGAGCACCCCAGCCATAACTTACTTGAGTGATGTAGTAAGTTAACATCCAAAGATAAGATGGAAACCCAGGTGTCTTGAGTAGTCCCAGGGTCTTTTACTTTGTTTCTCTGCACAACACAAACATCAAGCATGTGGATCATTTGGGAATATTCACTAGGCTCTGAAAACTTCCACTACTCTCTTAAAAATTGTATGGATTCTTCTACTGCTTCCTTTATTCTAAGAGAACCCAAGCACTTCTTACAGCAACTACCACAGAAACACCAAATGACACAGAATATTGAAATAAAGGGTAGCATGTTAAATTTCTTACAATACTGCCCATGGAATCGGATTTGTTTTCATTTCCTTTTTACTCTAAATAATTTAGAAAATATCTGCCAATACACCTTATGGGAACCAATCACATATACAAAAATGTTTTATTAAGGAATTTGTTAGGATTAAGATTTGTGCTTCTCAAGTTTCAGTCACTTACTAATCATTGTTTCCATTTTGCTATATCCACTTACATGTCTAAAATCAATTTAATACTTTTCTTTAAATGGACTCACTTTTTTAAAACTCAAAGACAAATTTTATAGGAGATGATGAGTACTATTGTAAATGGATAACAAGCATCAATTGCCATAAACATTTAGACAACTATAAATATAATTACAAAAGTATAAAATAAATGTGTCTATCTACCACTGAAAGTCATCTCTTATTCTATAAGTAACAGGCCTTTTTCACTGATACAGTGAAAAGTATGGATGGACTTTGCAATCAGGAAGACTTGGGTTTGAATCTGAACTCATTCCCTTCCCGCTATTGTAATCTTTGGTAATTTCCTTAAACGTCTCACCACCAGTTTCTCATCTGTAAAATGGAATAACAAAAGCTATCTCCTAGTGTGTGTGTGTGTGTGTGTATGTGTTTACAAAGCACCCAGGGTTATTCCTAGCTCATAGTAGGAGCTCAAAAAAATTTGGTTACCTTTTTGCTTTCCTCAATATTTCTTTCTTTATTTTTCAAAATGACATTCATGAACGATATTGTTAGCTAGAGGAATGCTATGGGGACAGTGTTAATTTTTCCCAGAATTACTTACTGTTTGATTGCCTACCATGTGCTAGGAACTGTGCTAAGTGCCATGGGTAAAATGAAGACTGAATAAATAGACTTGGAGTTGAAGACTTGGATTCAAGTCCTAATTCATCTCCATTGAATAAGTCATTTAATATTTCAGAGCCTCAGTTTTCTCATCTGAAAAGTGAATGTGGTGATTGACATTTACTTCAAAGAACTTATGTAAGGAATGCCATGATAGCTTATGGGAGAGTCTTTGGTGAACTGATAGAAGCATTTCTGTTGTAACATTATATACAGGTTCCTGAAATAGTTTGTGTTCTACAGAATTGTACATTAAAAATAACAGGACTTTATGCAGCCATAAAAAATGATGAGTTCATGTCCTTTGTAGGGACATGGGTGAAGCTGGAAACCATCATTCTCAGCAAACTATCGCAAGGACAAAAAACCAAACACTGCATGTTCTCACTCATAGGTGGGAATTGAACAATGAGAAGACATGGACACAGGAAGGGGATCATCACACACCAGGGACTGTTGTGGGGTAGGGGGAGAGGGGAGGGATGGCATCAGGAGATATACCTAATGCTAAATGATGAGTTAATGGGTGCAGCACACCAACATGGCACATGTATACATATGTAACAAACCTGCACATTGTGCACATGTACCCTAAAACTTAAAGTATAATAATAATAATAATAATAATAATAATAATAATAATGAACGTAAAAAAAAACAGGACTTTTGCAAAAATAGGGTTGGGTAGACCACAAAAACCTGTACAATATTATGACCACAATGCTAAGATTAGGATATTTATCCTAATAAAAATAATAGAGCTAAGAAGACCTGTTAAACTTTGAATAACTAAATAGATACACAAATGCATATATGCTATAGCAAATTTAGGACTGTACTTTAAAACTAGTGAAGGTTGCTTGATGGAAGGCTTAAGGAAGGGATGAGGCTGCTTAGTTGTGTAGGCAAGGGCAAATGTTCAAAGATCGGAAAGCACCATGCTAAAAGCTCTTCCAAGAAGGAGCATGTAGACAAACAGCCCAGCATGATGGGGCTGGAGTGGGTAAAGGCATCATGTCCAGTATTCCCACTATCCATCTCTCTGTGGCAAATGTATTCAACCATGCTAGTGTACCTTCTCCTCAGCTGCTGCTCCTTGGTGCAACAAATCTTTGACATCCTGGGAAAAATCAAGCAGCTTGCATGTTATTGTGCTATCATTCCTCTAGTTATCAGTCTTGCCTTGTTTTATAGTAACATGTGTTACAGGGTCATGTGTATAGCAGAGCAGTCCACAGATGCAGATGAGGGGTTGTAGCTCTCAATGAATCGCAGGCTTCATGAGCAGAATAAGCAATGACTCTCAGAGATATAACAGAATTCAATGAGAGACATGAGTCTCTCCCTCTGTCCCTCCCTCCCTTTCCAGCCTGACCAGGCTACTATCCACTCCCCTCCTTGGTTTCAGGTTTCCTTTTCTTAACTAGCTTGTGAGCTTCTTGAGAGAGGGCTCTGTCATATTCCTCTATGTGCTCTGAGGGCCCAGCACAGAGGCCCCAGAGCAGAATGTTTGCATTACAGTTGAACTTCCTTTTGTAAGTTGAGAAAAATCCAGGACCCACTGAAGAAGTTCCAGACTTCATTGAGGGCATCAGATCCACTGGACCACCATGAGGCCAGGATGGAGACACTACTGGGACAGGGACAGTGTTTCATTCAGTACTATCTCCTGCATCTCTGTTGGTCCCACGTGACACGGGAACTGCTCAGTGGGTCCCAACCCTACTTTATCCAGGAGAGGGACATGATGGGGCTCACAGAACAGCCTCCTTCTCAGCCCTCCTTCATTTCCCTTCCTTGCCTTCCTTCATTCCTGTCCTCCCTCCCTTCCTTCATTCCTGTCCTTTCTGCCTTCCTTCATTCCTCTTATCCTTTCCTCCTTCCTCTCTCCCAAACTCTTTCCTTCCTTCCTCCTGTCCTTCCTTCCTGTCCTCTGTCCCTTCCTTCCTCCCATCCTTTCTTCCTTCCTCCTTCCCATCCTCTCTTTCTTTGTTCCTTCCTTCCCTTTTTCTTTCCTCTCTCTCCCTTCTTCCTCCCTTCCTTCTTCCTTCCTTCTTTCCTGTCTTCCCTCCCTTTCTCCTCCTTCCATCCTTCCTTCCCTGCCTCTCTTCTCCCCTTCCCTTCCCTTCCTTTCCCTTCCTTCCAATTTGTTGAGCCCCTATTCCATGCCAGACGCTAGACAAGGTCCTAGGGATAAAGTGGTGAGCAAAAAGGCATGAAATCTGTCTTCACAGTGCTTCCATATTGCCTGTAGTTTAAGAGCTTAACCTCTGAAGCCAGATCTCCTCAGTCTGATACTTGACCCTTTCCTTTACTCACTATATGAACTTGGTGAAATTCCTTTCTGGATATCAGTTTTCTCTGCTGTCAAATGAGGCTCATGACAACCTATTTCAGAGAGTTATCATGAATGTTAAATTAATTGATATGTAAAGTACTTAGATTAGTACCTGACACAGTAAATGCCCAATAAATATTAACAGGAATTGCTAGTGTGATAACTGCTATATAGAGACAATAAGTCAACAAATCAATATAAAATCACAAGAAGCAATGTGTGTTATGAATGCAAAGAACTGGGTGAGACTTGCCTATAACTTAGAACTATGTTTTCCCTGGGGTGTAGCTCTGGAACTAGTTGAATATGTAAACATTATCTGACCAAAGAGTTGGCAAATGATTGTGCCTATGGATCATGAAGATCTCTAAATATCCTCTGATTTTGAAGAATAACATTGGGAACCTTTTTAAAGAGAATGATCAGATAGGGCCTCTCTGAGGAGGGGATGTAGATAAATGGTATAAACACTGAAACTGGCAGAAGGAGGGTAGTGTAAGAGAGGCATTACAGTTGGAGGAGAGATGGGAATGGTCACAGGCAGGAAAAAGCCACCAACAATGATCAGGTGTTGAGGCCTTTGCCCTGTGGGGTCTGTGCTTGGCCAGTTTTATTAAAAGAATCTTTGTTCCTTGACTGCCACTTAAAGTGTCACTCTATGTGCAGTCCTCCATTAGGGCTTTTGCATACTGGAGACCAGGCAGTTACCTCCCATATCTTGATGATTCTAGCACTCATGTCAGGTTATTACCATGAGCCCCTCTGTCCTGCCTGCTGAACTCTGCACCACTATGTCGGCTAGGCCATTGTTTCATTTATTATGTTAGGCTTGAGAAAATTTAAGAAAGGAAATATAAGAATAGACATTTCTAGGTACTTTGGTCTAAATTCAATCCCAATCCTTAAAGGTGGTTTGGCTTGTTTGTTTGTTTTGACTTTAAGTTCTGGGATACATGTGCAGAACGTGCAGGTTTGTTACATTGGTATACCTGTGCCATGGTGGTTTGCTGCACCTATCAACCCATCATCTAGGTCTTAAGCCCTACATGCATTAGGTATTTCTCCTAATGCTATCCCTCCCCTAGCCCCCCACCCCACAACAGCCCCTGGAGTGTGATGTTCCCCTCCCTGTGTCCATGTGTTCTCACTGTTGAACTCCCACTTATGAGTGAGAACATGTGGTGTTTGATTTTCTGTTCCTGTGTTAGTTTGCTGAGAATGATGGCTTCCAGCTTCATCCATGTCCCTGCAAAGGACATGAACTCATTTTTTATGGCTGTATAGTATTCCATGGTGTATATGTGCCACATTTTCTTTATGCAGTTTATCATTGATGGGCATTTGGGTTCCAATCCCTAAGTTTTATTCAGTATATGGTACCAGCTATATGCACTTTGGGTAACCTTGGTCACATCATCTCATTTGCCTGCTCATTCACGGATACTTATTCAACAAATACCAATTGAGCAAGATGTATGTGCTAGTATGACAGAGAGATAGGTCACCTGGGGCCTCAGCTTCTCCACTGCTGAAGACTTGTGCCAGATCACTGGCTTTCAATGCAGTGTGGACTCCAGAGCCCTATTTTATTAAACAAATTAGAGTGGATTCAAGGTTATTCCTCTAATAGCTTCACTCCTTGGTATACTGAAGCTGTCTCAGGTGAAAGAGAAAATGGTGGAGTGACAGCTATAGGCTTGGAATTTTTGTTATTATTACCCAGAACTTAATTGATCTCTGCCTGAATTGTTAGGCTGTGTGAGCCTCACTTGCCACAAGGTCTTCATGAAAAGGATTGAGAACTGCTGAACTGAATGTTCTCTGAGATTCTTTCTAGCTCTGACATTCACAGAGTGCTGAGACAGTTTTTCTTTTTTCTTTGTTTTCATTTAACACTGTTTCACATGCACATTTCCAAGACTCCATATGGCTGATTTCCTTGTCAGTCTCAGAAACAGTGCTTCAGTTTTGCTTAGCAGTAGTCCTATTGGTTCCTGTCTTCCCTTGATTCCCTCTACTTTTACAGACTTTTTTCAGAGCCTTCATTTCAATGAATCCTAATGGTGTGTGTGTCTGTGTATTTGTCCACACTCAAGGTCTTTATCTGGTACCTACAGGCACTCAGCAACTACCAATTGGATGAATTAGTGAATTCTTAATGATTATCAATAATTTCATCTCACACACACACACATACACACACAGAGAGAGAGAGAGAGAGAGAGAATGAGAGAAATCATAACCTTTGGCTTATTTTACTTCTTTTTTGAGGGTGTTAATTTTCAAAACAGAATCGCTAGATCCAAAGTTTAGCAGCAAGTTTCATGCTTGTATTACCAGCTACCAGATTGCTGTGTTGCCTCTGTTTTATGTAAGCAGTAGTTTTTCTGATAACACTTGTGTTAATTATTTATAACATTATAAGTAATTAATCAAATCAAGGAGTGTTTTCTCTTCCTTTTTTTCTGGGTGTCAATATTCTTTCTATCCCAAACTCTAGTTGTTTCCCTAAAGCCATCAAATAAGAGGTTTGTCCTCTGAGTTTAACCAGAGAAAAAGAAATGGGCTGTTCCTGCTCTCCACCCTTTGCAATTTCTGTGATGATGATGATGATGATGATGATGATGGTGATGATGATGATGAAGGTAACTATAACAACCCTGTGAGAATATTAATAACCCCATTGACAGATGAGGAAACTAAGGCCCAGAGAGATGAAGTGATTTGCCCTCAGTCACACAGCTAGATATTAGCAAAGACAGGATTTATATCTGGTTCCATGAGACTCAGAACCTGGCCTCTTTCCACTAAACTACACTACATCACTCCCCACGTGGAAGTTCAGGGTCAGGAGCCTGGGGAGCAGCAGGTCTGTCAAGTTCTGCAGGGCTGAGCTGTTTATCATTGTGGAGGACACTCATCACTGTGCTAATTACATTAATTGCTGCCCACTCTGTGGCTAGGTGGGTGGCTTAACAACACCTAGCAACGTGGTAACGATGCCTGGGCCTGTCTTTATGCATGAAAACATCTGCCTTTTTTTTTAAACTCCTTCCTGTGGTGTCCAAGGATAGTAATTACAGGTTCTATTGGTTGGGAGTTAGTGATTCTCTACCCTGTAGGGAAAAGGTCAAGACTATGAACTTTGCCCTCTAACAGCCTTTTTACTGGAATCGGGAGGGAAACCGAAGATTTATTAAATATCAACCCTGTGCTTGACATTTTATTTAAGGGATCTTTTATAATCCTCATGATTCCTCAAGAAATAGGAATTATATTATTCTTACTTTGTTTATGAGAGTACACAGTCACCATGTTGGGGTCACATAGCAAGCTAGGAGCAGGTGGGAACAGGCTTAGAACTCAGGACTATCAGTGGACACATTTAGTCTTCACAAATTTATCTACACGACAGCATCTCGTAACAGAAGACAGTGTCTTTCTAATGTTTAGAACTGAATTATAGTGAGGCCGAGTCTGTATTTCCAGAGAACAAGCAAGGCATTAGGAGCTGGTGTTTTGTGGAGTTCTCTATTGGTAAAGGATGAATATTTGAGATGTCAGCCTTCCGACCTCCACTCCTTCCCTTAGTTTCTGAAAGAAATTAACAGAGTTTTCCAGTTGATTTTTAAATAAGTAATTTCAAGACCACCTCTGTCTACTTGTTGGGAATGGACAAGGTGGCTTTGGCAATTCATCATAATTGGGTAAATGACTTAATTTTCAGAGGCTCAGATAACAGACGATAATTTAGGAAGTAATTGACTTTGGAATGTTGTGTATTCATGTACTTTAAGGGTGTGCCCATATCTATATGTGTAGGTATATATGTCAATAAATGTGTGGTGCGTGTGTGTGTGTGTGTGTGTATTCTTCAGGAAGACTTAGAGTAGTAGTGGACTTAGATGATTTGGTTCCTTTTATACCTGCCATTTGTCTATAAATAAAGTTTAAATAAAGTTTAGCTTGTATACTAAAGCTCAGAACAACTACATCATATGATGATACAGGGTAGTAGTTAAGATATATGAAGCTAGGCCAGGGTTTGAATCTTTTTTTTTTGTTTGTTTGAATCTTGGCTCGGTCACTTACCAGCTGCTATGACTTGGGCAGGTCACTTAACCTCTCTGGCATCAGTTTTTTCATTTCTAGAAATAGGGATGATAACAATTCTCATCTCATGAGGTTCTTCTATGCCACGGAGGCTTTTGAGACAGGAACTATGTCTATACACTTTTCTGCACTCAGCCAGAATGAGGTTTGGAAGGAGCAGGCTTTGGACTTAGATACTCGATTCTGATTCCAGCACTCCCATATTGGCTGTCTGACCTTACAGAAACTATATACCTTTTCTGGACCTCAGATTCCTCATTTACACAATCAAGGCTCCTGATTTCTACCTAAAATGATTGCGATACCACAAGGTGGGACCCATGAGACCTGGTGCAGCAGTAACACACAGGAGGGATCCAGCGAAGGTTGGTTCTTTTTCCCCTTATTCCCATCCTAGGGTCTTACATTTAATAATTGGTGACTCAGTTCTTGTTTGATATGTAAAATACATTCTTTTGTCTCATACTCCATTTTTCCCTCTTTCCACTATTTTCCTTCTCCCTTTTCATAACACTTTCCTTTCTTTTACCTTTTTGGTCAGCTTCTATCTACTGTGATTGAAGCCCTCTGTCCAGGTCACCAGCCATTGTCTCCTGGATTGTGGCAGCAGCTTTCTAACTTGTCTCCTTGCCTCTATCTGTCCCTGTTGTTTCATTCTCCATGCAGGGCAGTCCTTCTGTAACCTGAACCAGACCTTGCTGCTCCTCTGTGCCACTCCCTCCGGTGGCTTCTCATCACCATGGCCTGCAAGGCTCTGTGTGACCTGTCTTCTGGCACTCCCTGACCTCCCTCTTAGCTCAGTCTGCTCCAGCCTCAAAGGCCTTCTGGCTGTTACTGGAACATTCAAGCACATTCTTGCTTTGGGTCTTTTATAAATATATACATCTGTCTGTGTGTATATATATATATACACACACACACACACACACACAAAAACACACACATACACACACATATATACACACACACATACACACACACACATATATAGTTCTCTCTTCCTCCAGATATCTGTAGGCTTCATCCTCTCACTTCCTTAGGCCTCTGCCCACATGGCACCATATCAGAAAGGCCTTCCCTGATGACTTAATATTAAAAAAAAAAACCCAAGCACTCCCAGTCCTCCGTTTTAGTTTTCCTCTTTTCTCTTATCAGTGGCATATTAGACACTTATTCATTTACTTATTTATTTTCTCTCTCCCCTGAGCAGCACGTGACCTCTATAAGAGCAGACTTGGTTTTGTTTTCTGCTGTGTCCCCAGAACCTGGAGCACAGTAAGTGCTCAATAAATATTTGCTGGATTTTGTGAATGTGTGTGTCCCCTTTATGAAATGGCACGGAAGAGCCTGCACTGACGCTCCAGGTGATTTGGGGCCTGAATGGGTCACTGATCAACTTTTATCTTAACCAGACCAGGGTGATGAGGAGAATTAGGTGGCTGCTCAGGGGCCCTTCACACACATACCTTTGGGACCAACGCTGTTTCGTCTGCAGCAATGGCGTGCCTGGCTTTCATGCTTGTGGTTTGTACCATAGTTGTGATGTTGTCTAGAATTCCCATGGCAGCTTTACAATATGATTAATTTTGCTCATATAGATACATATCGATTACGGATAAAGATGACTCAAGGTTTAAATTTAGCCCCACCACAACAAATTGAAAGTCACAGGTGTGCTACCTAATTGCTCCCAGACTATGAAAACAAAAGCACAATGTCTGCCAGCACTGAATCACTCTTCTCCACCCTTTTTCTCCCTTCCCTTCATGTTCTCTGTCTTAATTCTGTTCATGTCGTAAACCGTGGTAGCTTAGAAAAGTGAAAAATAACATCCGGAGTCCAAAGTTCCAGTCCTGACACCACCACTTGTTTACTGTGAGATCTCAAGCATGTTACCCCACCTCCCTGAGCTTCAGTTTCCTCTTTTGTAGAATAGACCTACTTGAAAACAGGTGCTCAATAACGTGTTGAATGAAAGATGCCTAAGTGAGACAGCATGGGTAGAATGTCTAGCCCAGGGTGAGCACTCAATAGATGCTAGTCACCGGCCATGCTAACTGATGCACCTGACTGTGCTGTCTTCATGAACTTTCTTTGGCTTTGGTTAACCATTAGGATAGGCAACCCAGCTGAAAACAGAGGATGGCTCATGACAAGGCCTTTCCTAATCAGTCTCTCACAAGGGCTTTTATGGAGGCCCTACTATGCGTACAGCAAGGTGGAAGATTCAGGGGTGGGTGGAGCATCAAGCCAGCGAGAGGCATAGTTACTGCTGCTATTGGTGCCCTGTGGCTGCTGTAACAAATGACCACAAGCTTTGTAGCTTAAAGCCACAGAAATGTATTCGCTCACAGTTCTAGAGGGCAAAGCATTTGAAATCAAAATGTTGGCAGGGCCACGCTCCCTCCAAGGGCCCTAAGGAAGAATCCACTCTCTGCCTTTTGCAGCTTCTGGCGACTCCTGGTGTTGCTTGGCTTGTGGAAGCACAGCTCCGTTCCGCGCCTCTGTCTTCACATGATCTTCCCTACTGTGTGTCTCTGTGTCTCAAATCTCCCTCACCTTTCTCTAATAAGGAAACCAATCATTGGATTTAGGGTCTACCCTAAATTCAAAATGTTTTCATCTTGAGATCCTTAACTTAATTACATCTGCAAGGACCCTATTTCTAAATAAGTTCACATTCATAAGTGTTGGGGTTTGGGGTTTAGGGTTTTGACATCTTTTTTGGGGTCCCAATTTAACCCAGCTACAGTGGCCTCCAGGAATTTCAGATTAGGGAAAGGAAGAGCACACACAGATGAACAAAAAAAGTTTCAAGTAGAGTTTGTAAGACAAATCTTATTTGAAGGTGGTTAGTAGGGGGTTGATCCATTAATTTTTTGATCCAGAAATATTCACTGAGCCCCTGCTATGCTGGGTGCTGGAGATAGAAATGAGGAAGCACAGTCTCTGCCTTCAAGGAGTTCACAGACTGCTTCAATGAACAGAGAAATGGACATTTATTGTTGAGCATGGTAGGAGCTGTGGTAGAAGTAGACCCCTGATGCGATGGGCATTAGCAGGTCTGAGTTACAACCTCGGGGCTGGTGTTCAGAGAGGGCTTTCTGCAGGAAGTATTATCCCTTCCAAGGCCTAAAGGTTGAGGGAGTAGGAGCTGGCCAGGCCCAAGCGGGAATGGTTCTAGGAAGAAGGAATGGAGGAAAGACAGGCTGGCCTGTATAGGTTCTGCACTATGTAGGGGGCTGGAGAGGTGCACAAGGGATCAGATTGAATGGGATGCTGAAAACCACAGAAAGCTATGGAGAGCCATAGAAAGACTGTAGGGAGGGGAGTGACATGACTAGATCTGTATGTTAAAAATAAAAATTGGAGAAGGTCTTTTGAGAAAAGTGATTTTCTAATAGAATTTTATTTGATCCTTTTTTTAAAAAAAGAAGCATAACATATATACAGAAATGCATACAAGTCATAAGAGGTGCATTTTGATGAATGATTACAAAGTGAATAGCCCTGTGTATATACTGCTTAGGTTTTCCAGATGTATAGGTTGTCAGAGTACAGGCAGAATAGAGGAGAGATGGCCTAATCATTTGGAATTTCTCTTCTTTGTCCTGTGGAGAAATGGCTTTCATAACAGAAAGAATATGGGATCTAGGGTAGAAAGGCTCAGTTTTGAGCTCTATATCTGGTATTTCCTTTTTGTATGATCTCAGGCAAATGGCTACACTTTCCTTATCCTCAGTTTCACTACTGAGAGTGGACTAGCTATGTCTTCTTCACTAAGATGGTGTGCAGGTAAAATAGGACAAAGCTGGTAAAAAGCTCTCTGCATTATGCAAAATAGTTGCCCATATAATTCTAAAATTCCAATCTGTCTCAGATATAGACTGCTTCACTTTATCTTCTTCCTTCTTTATATGACATTTTGACAGATGAATGAGGAGGGAAGGAGGGGAGGGAGTTTCTCTTTTTGTAATGCTTTTTTTTTTTTGGTTTTGTTTTCCATTTCAAAATGCCAGCCACATCTGGAGTGGCTCTCCTATACCCTTCTCTGTCCCTACTCTTCCTGCTCATTGCTGGCCATCTTACCCAACCAGGCCCAAAGAGGCAGGGGAAGGAGGGCGGGAATGAGGGCATGAAAAGAGCTTCGAGGTGAAAAGAAGTCCCTTCGTCTTCCTTGAGGGTCCCTGCTGTCCCCAGCTGTGCACTAGGCATTTGGGATGGAGGTGGGGGGATGTAGATGGGAAACATGCCCTTCACTTTCAGTGTGATGTCAAGTCTGTTGAGGCAAAATGAAAACAGCCTAGGCCGAGCGCGGTGGCTCACGCCTGTAATCCCAGCACTTTGAGAGGCCGAGGCGGGCGGATCACGAGGTCAGGAGATCAAGACCATCCTGGCTAACACGGTGAAACCCCCTCTCTACTAAAAATACAAAAAAAAGTTAGCCAGGCATGGTGGCAGGCACCTGTAGTCCCAGCTACTCGGGAGGCTGAGGCAGGAGAATTGCGTGAACCTGGGAGGCAGAGCTTGCAGTGAGCCGAGATCTGGCCACTGCACTCCAGCCTGGGCAAGAGAGTGAGACTACGTCTCAAAAAAAAAAAAAAAACAAAAAACAAAAAACAGCCTAATAGCAGAGCAAGACCAGCTAAGGTCAAAGTCTTAGTGTCAGAGGCAAATAGCCCCAAAGGAGGCTGGAAACAGAAGAGACCACTTCACTGGGTAAAACACCTACAGAAGGTGAGCTCAGTGCTAGGCTCTCCCTTCTCTCCTCTCATTTCAAATTCTTGGCATTTTATGCAATAAATATATTTAAGCACCTATAGCATATCAGACCATTATTTTATACACATTGTTTTATTTGATCCTCAGAACAACACTAAAAGCTAAGTATTATAATTACCATCTTTTGGAGGAAGGGGACCAAGATTTACAGATTTGCTCAAGATCACACCACTGTTAAAAGAAGGAAATAGCTTTGAACCCACACCCATCCAGTCCCACAAATCCTGCTCTTTCCACTCTGCTATACCGTTCGTTGAACGTATGTGGAAGGGAGCCACGCGCTTTATCGGGCTGCATCACATTGCATGCATTTTTAGTATATGTGTGCACATGCCAACAGGCATGTGGGAATCCTGCTGGGTGAGTTGTAATGAGGGCGTTTTGAGTGGCTAGATGCATTTTTGCTGGTGAGGCCTGGCTCAAGGAGAACAGGAAAGGAAGCATACAAACCCAGTGTGTGGGAGGCTAGTCACACGGTGTGAGGGCTTGTCCTTGAACAAACTATTGGGAAATGGGTCTGTTAAGCCCTGGTGAAACTTTACTTTACTGGGGGGCCCCTAGGTTTTTCCATGACTATTTGATTTCCAAAGCATAATTCATTCCCAATTCTTGAAAAAAAAGAAAAAGCAATATTTGTTTAGCACCTCCTGTGTGCCAGGCATGGTGCTTGGTGCTTTACATATGTGACATCATTTAATTCTCACAAACCCTTGCCCATTAGTGCCACTGTTCAGCCCAGGAGACAGATTCAGGAAGTTCAGGCGATTTGTTCAAGATTCTTCAGCTGGTGTGGAGCAGCACTGGGGTTCCTGCCCTGTGCTGTTCAACAGCAAGTCACACTGGCATTTTAAAGTTATTGGTGGGACATTCTGTCTTTTAATATAGTTGTAAATTATCTCTAATCATGAAATAGGATGACAGCATACTGATCCTTCCTCTCCTCTTTTAGAAAAAGAAAGGCATTATCTTTTCATTCCTGAGTAACTAAGATTCTTTGCCCCAGAGGTAAAAATCTCCACTCCAGGTTACTCATGTGTCATTGTCCGGAGGGTACAATTGCTACTCTTGCTTTCGTTTGGCCCTTTTTCTTCTTCTTTTCCTAAGGTACCTGGCCTCTTTCAAGATATCTCTCACTCCCCCATACCCATCACTATAGTATAAGGCTGCTGAGGTGGCACCAGCCATGATAAGGAAGGCAGGGACCTGTGGCCTGGATGAGCCTGTAGTCAGAGAGACCTGGTGTGTATGGAGTCTAGAGGGCCCTCTGAGGTTTGAGATAGGCCTAATAGTCTCCCAAAGACCCCTGGTCCCTGCTCACCTAGTGCCATCATAGAAGGGAAAAGATGTTCTTGGTGTCACTGGAGAACATTTGGCTTTGGAGATAAGTGTTTGGGCCACCAGCCCCCTTCAAGAATATATAGCAATTATGAGTGTCTGGATGGACCTCATTTTTTGCACTGGGCGGATAGATTAACCAAACCTCCCAGAAGTGGAATGAATAACAAAGAGAAAGGTCTTTGCAATTCTAGGGCTTGTCCTTTCACATCTCTTTTAAGGCTTGTGAAAGCAGCGAGCAGTGGGGAGGGAGATGGGTGGAATGGGCATTTGTTAACGAGGAGAAATCCTGAGATGCTTGGTTGTGTGACCTGGGGTTGGGAAGCCACTCCACTTCACATCTCTGAGTCTCAATTTTCCCTTCTGCCATTTGGCAAAGGGAATGCTTCCCTTCCTCTTCCCCTGCCCCAGACGGCTGCTGTGAGAATGAGATGAGAATATGTTTAGGGTTTTGGAGTGATGTCCGAACTCAGAGAAGGTGCTTAGGCCAAAGTCAAGAGGCCTGAGGTGTACTCCAGACTCTGCCCTGAACTCAGTATCTCTTCTTTCCGGGGCTTCCTTTCTATAAAATGGGGGAATGAGGGTAGCTTTCTTTCTTTTTTTTTTTTTTCCCTCAATGGTCACTTTTGATTCTAAATGCCATAATGCCATGACTGTTTTCTCAAAGTAGAGGATTAGATGCAACTTTTAGGAGATAAATGGATCATTTAATAGTTACCTGTTCAGTCATTTAACAAATGTTTAATGAGGACCTACCACATGTCAGCCACAGTGCTAGGTAATGGATAGAATAACAAACAAAACAGACGTAGCCCCTGCCCTCATGGAACTTCTAGTCTAGTATAAGACTGTTTGGAAGAACTTCCTCATCTCAGATAGTTGAAGAAGTTCCAGGGCTCCAAGGGGAATGTCGTTAGTTAAAAGAACAATGTCAGGAATGTAATAGGTGCTCAAATATTTGTTAAATGAATAAATCAATACAAGCACCTGAAGGAAGCTCTTGCAGTAACCCTAGAGTTAGGAGCAGTTCTTTGGAGTCCAGAAAGACTGTGGGAGCTCTGGCAAAGGGTGTATGTAATTGCTAAATAGTTTGTTTGTTGAGACACCTGTGGATGGGAGGATCTGCCCCTACCTGCCTGGTTCTCAAGGTGGCCACTTACTGGGAACAACGATGGCTTCACTTGCCAGGTCTTTTCCCCAGAGGTGGAGCCCATGCAGATGCTGGAACTGAAGGGGGGAAGGGAAAAGTGGCCAGGGAAAAATGCCAGTGTTTGTATGACATTTGGGCTAAGCCCAGAGGACCCATAGAGATTGTGGGGTCTCATCTGTATCCTGTCAGAGGGGTAACTGAGGCCTAGATGGGATGTGAGGTCACAAAAGAGTTGGCTCCAAGCCATGTCAGGAGGCTGGATGGGGAGGTGGAAAGAACCTGGGCTTAGGAGTTGGAGAGTACTTGGGTTTGAAGGCTGTGGATCCTTGGGTAAATCACTTAATCTCTCTGAATCAGCTTTCTCATCTGTTGAAGAGACATCACAGTGGTGGCATCTGAAAGATGTCATGAGGTATAATGTGTCTTGGACACCTAAAATCAGGACCCAGGACTAACTATAGACCTGATAATCAGTATTTATAATTATTACATTATTAGGACCCAGGTCCTATTTCTGTGCAATGTTGAAAGATAGTGATAAGAACAATTTAGATCAGAACTTACAAGTTTGCATGATCTTCATTATAAATGAAATAGTGAAACAATGCTGAGCGGATTTACAGAGGCGTAACTCATTCATTAACCAGCTTAGACAGGCATTTTCCCCCCTCTTTGGGATTGGTTTTCTCTTCTGTTAAATGGGGATAATTTTTATGCTCAACCTCTTCTCATCCATCTATTAAACATTTATTGAATGCCTATTAGGAGTCATAATATGCTTAGTGCTGAGGACACAGGAAGAGGACATAGTTCCTGACCCTAAGGAGCTCATTACCTAGTGGGACACTATTAAACAGATACAACACAGAATAGTATGTATAGAGCATGGTATGTAGCAGGGGCCTATTCCTGTCTGAGTGGACAAGGAGGCTTCCTAGAGGAAGCAACATTTAAAGCTGAGGGCTGAAGGATGAATAGGATTTAACCAAGTAAAAGTAAGAAAGGAAGTGGGGAGCTGGAAAGGGCATTCCAGGAAGAAGAAACTGCATGTGCAAAGGCCAGGAGGTCAGAGCGCACAGTGGATATGACGATGTGGCTAGCTGAGCATGTCTGTGCAGTGTCAACTTTGTTGTGAACACAGAGGGAGGCTACTGGGAAATTTTAAGCAAGAGAGTTGGAGTATGATCACATTTGCATGTTAGAAAGAACACTCAGGGTTATATGCACTTGAATGAAGTTTTATTATGGAGAGCAGTTGGAACAAGTCGATTCTTTCCTCCTCCTCCATCATCCTCCTCTTTTCCCTGTCCACATAACATGGCTCACATGAGATAAAATAACCCACACAAGCATGCCTTGTGTAATGTCTGCCACATAGTAGGTGTCCAATTATCATATAATTCCCCCCTTTTTAAATGTAGTTCCTGAAAGAGAAATCCCCTGGCATGAAGCACAAGTTGGGGCAAAAACGGTGAGGGTGTGGCTGTTTGTATCTTCTGGCTGGTGTTTGGGTATAGCCGACAGGATTTAGGTCAGAGGAAGTTCCCCAGACAGTTCAGCCTCAACCAGTCATCTGGGGTTTCAGGGAGGGCAGGTGAAGGTCATAATATCCCCCTATTTCAGGAGGCCACCCCTCCCCAGGATCCTGATCTTGAAATGTACCAGACATGGACCATTGCGTTAATTTGTCTGGGTCGGCTTCCTCATCTGTAAAATGGGTATAAGGTTACCTGTGCTGTCAGCCACATGGGGTTGTTGTAAGAAACAGAAAAGTGTGAACCACCACAAAATAATATAAGACTACATTAATTAATGGCTACCCTGGGCTGGGCCTTGTTCTGTGAAGTAGATATTATCAATTATCCCTATTATACAGATAGCAAAACCAAGGGTCAGAGAGATTATGTGAATCACCCACAGGCACAGAATAAGTGGCTGTAGCTGGAGCGCTGGCATTTTAACCACAACACTGTGACACCATGACTTGTTCTCCTTTGAAAACCACCTCCTGCTCCCTGAGCTCTTAGCTTGATGCAGTACTCCAGAAATGAGTGTAGAAAGATGGAAGAAGGAAGGAAAGGGGCAGTGTTTGAAGTCTGAGAGTCTTTCCAGATGCCTCCCTACTCCTCACCCCACCAACTCAGGGTCTTCTTCCAGATGCACTCTGGGAAATGGCTCATGGCATCCTCTTAAAATGACCTGTTACCTGACTCCTCATTAGATGGGGACACGTGGGGGAAGGGACTGTTTGGTTTGCGTTGGTATCCCCAGGGTCTAGTACAATGGCTGGCACTCAGTAAATGTTTGTGAATAAATTCCTCCTGTCATTGTCTGAATTTTCTGCCCATGCTGTCCTCTTGGCCAAGAGATCTAAAAGCAAACGAGCTGGGGCTTCTGGAAAGTCTTCCAAGGTCAGTGGATGCATGTGTGATGGAGGCCCAGCAAGAGGTCAGTGTGTTGCCCTGGGGCAAGCCTGCAGGATGGACCCAGAGGGCTGGGGTGGCCGGCTTCATCCAGCTCATTTTTCCCAAGGGATCTGGCGCTCACAGGCTGCACATAGAGCCCACGTGTTGTGTTGCGTGAGGACCCCTAAGGATTTGTTGAGTGGTCCTAGGTGCTCAAGTCACTGTACCTGCAGGGTGGCTTGAGCTGGGCCCACCTGACTGATTGGCTGGTCAATAGGTGGCCTGAGAACCAAAACTAGCCTCCAGCACATTGAGCAACCGGCTTCCTTCCTGCCCCGGGTCAGGAGCTGGGCCAGGGAAAGTGAAGAAACCTGTTTGGGGCCTCGGCAGGGTGGGCGTGGGTGGGGCCCTGCCGGGAAAAGAGGCGCCTAGACCAGTTAGTTTCCTTTGCTCCAGGACCGGATGCGGAGCCGGGACTCAGGTGGAGGCAGGAGAAATACGCACCCTGGGTGCACCTGTAAGTCCTCCAGGACTACATTGGTTTTGGCTATGACATGACCAGGGGCTCTGGGTCGGTGGTCACCGGGCGTGGGGCTTCTGGCTGCTAAATCAGGAGAGTGAGCGGGCCGGGCGGCGGCGAATGAGTTGACGGGTGGAGCTGGAAGAGGCTTTGGCGATCCAGCGGGCAAGCGAAGGACACCGCGGGAAGGGGTGGTACCCGGAAACGCAGCTGGGCAGTCGCGCCGCTCCCCTGTCCTCGCCAGCGCGCTTTCTCTTCCTGGCCCCTGCGCCTCCTCCGGGCCCCGCGGTGGCGTGAAAGGCGCTCAGGACAGACTTGTATTTGAATCCAAGCTGTTCCACCCACACGCTTTTGTTCTTGGGCGAGTGACTTCTATCTGACCCAGAGTTTTCCCAGACGAAAGTGGGAAGACGGTGCCTACCCCAAAGCGTCGTGGGAATGAAAGTCAATGAAGTGACATAGGAAAGGTGCCTAGCACATGGCAGGTGCTGAGCAAAGCGGGGTTCCCTTTCCCTTTGTTTAGCCCCAAGATCTCACTCCTAGCCCTGAAGTCGCGCCCCAAAGGCAGCCCCAGGACGGCGGGGTCTGGGAGGCAGGAGGCCTGGCCTGGCAATAACTCATTTGAATCATTTGATCCTCAAATGGGATGGGGGCGAGTGGGCGGATTCTGAGGCTGCCTTTGGAATGCGTTTCTGTGATCCTAGGAGGGAATTTCAATGCATTCTTCCATTCACGTATTTATTTATTCACAGATTCCTATCAGGCGAAGGCCGCCTTTCCTGGCCTCCCCCACAGGCCCGCCAGCGATTCGTCCTTACAAGGCTAGCCTCCACGGGCTGCCCTCTGTGTAAATAAAGCCACAGACTTCCGCCCACAGGTCGCCGCAGGTCCCGCCCGCAGCGCCGGGCCGCGGGGGAGGCGGGAACTGGTGCTACGGCCGCTACGCAGGCCTCGGGAGGCTCGGAGCCCGCCACGCCCCAGCCCTCTCGCAGGGCCGGGGAGCCACGGGGCCAAAAGGAGGAGCAGGTGGAAGAAATCCAGGCTCAGACCGTCGGAGTCCCCACCCATGAGCACCCTTCTCCACTGATCACTCAGAACATGGTAGGCCCTAGAGAGACAGCAGCCCGAATCTTCCCAGAAACCCTGCAGGAGATTCCTTCTTCCCATTTTATAGAAGGGAGGCTGAGGCTCGGCACGTTGAAATGGCTTGACCAAGGTCCCACAGGCAAAAAAATGGTACAGCAAGATATTGTAACCCAATATCTGGCTGCAAAACCCAGTCTCTCCCCAACCCACCTATCGTCACCGAGATTGTAAAACTTCTAACCGGGAAGAATCAAATACATGCACAACGGGTTACAGGTTAACAGACAGATGGGAGCGGAAAGGGACATTCCAGCGCTTCCCTGGGCGTGTCGCACAGGGCAACTCCAACCACAGGCGAATTTTCCTGGGTGACAGTTAAACTCCTTTTTGCATGAAAAAATACAGATTCTTATTAAAACAATAATCGATTAGACTATAAAACTCTCAAAGTTATTTCGGATCAAAATTATTTTCGGCTGTTTCCACACCTTTTTTTCTCGATTGTGCAGAAATTCTTCACACCGTCTGCACAGATGGGCAAACTGAGACCCGGACGAGTCCCATTGAGAGAGAGAGGCAGAGCCGGGGTTGGGAGAAGACTGAGATTTCTGGGATCCGGCTTGGGGTGTTTCCGCTGGGTGGGGGCGCCGGTTTGCGAAGAGCTTTCCTCGGACAGCTACTGCTGATTTTTGTCGCTCAGCCAGCCAAGTGGGGGCGATTCTGAGTAATCGCAGGCAATCAGCGCGGCTGGGGTTAAAAGCGAAAGGGACTCGCGGGCGAACGGCCGGGGAGGGCGGCGGGCACAGAGCCCAGACGCCGGCAAAGGCGGGGCGCCGCCGGGGTTCCCTCGGTGCGAGCGCGCGCGGCACTTCCTGCTTTTGCTCCTCCCTGCGGTCCTGCCGGCCGTTGTAAACTGGCGCTGCGGGCCACACCCGTGTTCCAGGCCCGCTAACCCACCGGCGGCCCCAGAGCCCCAGGCGGCCCCAGAGACCCAGCCTCAATCCTCAGTCCTCGTACAGTCCTCAGGTCCAAGTTCTGGCCATAGGAACGCCAGCCAGATCTGCAGCTCAGCTAGCTGAATTTCAGGTTCCAGAGACCTGGCCCTTTTCTTCCATGTAGGGGACAGTCAGGTTCTCTGGCCTGGGTTTTCTAAAAGTACCCAGAGTTGAACTACCTTCCACTCAGCAATCCCATTACTGGGTCTGTACCGAAAGAAAAATAAGTGGTTCTTCCAGAAAGACACATGAATCCCTATGTTCATCGAAGTGCTATTCACAATAGCAAAAACTTGGAATCAACCCAGGTGCTTGTCAATGGTGGATTGGATAAAGAAAATATGGCTCATACACACCACGGAACACTATGCAGTCATAAAAAGAATGAAATCGTGTCCTTTGCAGCAACATGGATGCAGGTGGAGGCCATTATCCTAAGTGAACTAATCAGGAAAAGAAAATCAAATACCACATATCCTCACTTATAAGCAGGAGCTAAACAATGGGTACACATGGACATAAAGGTGGACATGATAGACACTGAGGACTACTAGAGTTAGTGGGAGAGGGAGCAGAGCAAGGGCTGGAAAATTACCTCTTGGGTGCTATGCTCACTATCTGAGTGACAAGCTCAATTATACTAAAAACCTCAGCATTAGGCAATATACCTTTGTAACAAACCTGCACATGTACCCCCAATTATAAAATAAAAGTTGGGACGGGTGCAGTGGCTCACTCTTTTAATTCCAGCACTTTGGGAGACAGAAGGGGGAGGATGGCTTGAGGCCAGGAGTTTGAGACCCACCTGGGCAACAAAGTGAGACCTCATCTCTACAAAAAATTTAAAAATTAGCTAGGCATGGTGGCGTGCACCTGTGGTCCCAGCTACATAGGAGGCTGAGACAGAAGGATTGCTTGAGCCTAGGAAGTCGAGGCTGCAGTGAGCCATGTTCCTGCTACTGCACTCCAGCCTAGGCACTGGGCTGGACACCGTTTCAAAATAAAGTAAAATAAAAGTTGAAAAAAATATATAAAACAAACAAAACAACCCACACTTGACATTTGCTGACTATATGGCCTTGGGAAAATTACTTAACCTCAGTCTCAGTTTCTGCATCTGTAAAATGTGAGTTACTGACACTTACCTCATATAATTGTTGTGAGAAGTAAATATGTGCCTATCTGTAAAGGCCTAGAACATTTGAAAAAAAACTAATTAAATGCTATGTTTTGTTATTAGTGTTAGTTAGGCCTAGGTAGGAATCTTGTTTAGGCCACTTAAGAACTGGATGACCAGGCAGGTGTACTTTCTTCAGTTTCCCCACCTGGAAAAAGGAGTTTATTACACTTTATGTCACAGGGTGATGGTGAGGTCCCCATTATCCAGCAATTCCACAAGTGATGATGTTTGCAACTCTTACTGTTTGCCAGCACTGTCTTAAGCATTTGACCCTTATTAACTCATTTAATTCTACAATTACAGTATGAGAGAGGTATTAAGAGCATCCCATTTCACAAATAGGAAATTGAGGAACGAAGAAGTTAAATGACTTACCCAAAGTCACACAGCTACTAAGTAGGACTTGAATCTACAAAGTTTGGCTCCTTATTCCATATTCTTAATTCCTGCAGGATGTATCAGACACAATGCTAGGCAATGGGCATGCAGCCAGGAATGATACCACACACAGCTGCCTCCTCAACAAAGGCAAGGGGTTCCTTTCTGAGCTTATTGGCATTCCTTATATATGATTAAGCATTGCATGCATATGCTATATTTTATATAATAAGGTGGCTTGCACACCGTAGATATTCAAGATTGTTGGTTTCCCTCACTGTAATTTTTGGGGGTCCAGTTCCAAGTGCTTACATGGAATGTGGAGGGAGGTTAGGTTTTAAGTGATAGAGAAGTTGGTGTCTAATAGATGCTCCACATACCTAAGTTCCCTCGTCTGTGTACTTAGTGATCTTCCAGCTAAAGAGAATAAAACAGCACAGGCTTAAGGTTTAGACCTTTTAACAATAATAATAATTACTTCTGCCTTTGCAGAGTAATTCTGTTTCTGTAGAATTATGTCTGCACTGTGGGGTTCCCAGAATTGAGGGTAAATTTACTGTATTTATCACTTAATCATTTCCAAAACAGCTTATGACTATGGCATCTTTAGTCAAAGGCCCAGAATTCTCCTCCTACCCTCTGTCTTTGGAGTCCCCGTGGTAATTTTTGCTGTAAATGGCTAAAGCTATTAAATATAGTGTACATCTTCCTGCCATGGAAATATAAGCTGTCATTACATTCATTGCTTAAATGTTGTGATTATTTCAAACTTGGCTTTTGTATTTGAAGCCTTGAGTTAAATGTGGAAAGTAAGGGAGAAAACGGATAATGGTTAGAAATAAAAACGTGCAGTGGATAGGTTTCCAAAGTAATAAAAAGCCACTTTAAATTTCAAAAGATTTTAAACCTGTGTAGTTCCAGACAGAATACCCTAAATTCCCATCAAACATTGTGTCTCTATTCTGAGGGTCAGAACCGCCTTGAGGCAATTCAATGAACTCAACTGACAACAAAGAATTAAATCATTAATTTCTGCTTGTAAAAGAGATAGCCTGTGGACAACACTCAGCAGATGGTAGGTATTCACAAGGAAACTATTATGATTAGAGACAGGGATATGGAGAGAACAAAGACAGTATACTCAGCTGACATTTATTGAGCACCTACTATGTGACAGTTGCTTTCAAATCCATTATTTCAAATAAACCTCAAAATAAGGCTATGAGGAAAAGATCATATTATAGAAGAGGAAACTGACACTCCAAGACGCTTGTTAACTTGCCGAGAAAGTGAGTGGCAAAGTCTGAGTTGGAAGAAGTTGGGTCTGACTTCAAGTTCAGTATCTGATTCGCTGCACCTCTCTGCTTTTTCCCTGTATGCCCAAATGTCAGTCATTTTAGAGCTGGAGGTGAGGATCAGAGGGGACTTTAAGATCGCCTCACCCAGAGTTTCTCTGCCTCTTTTATAATCCAAGTCACCCTAGATAAACACAAAAACCTTACATCCTCTTTTAATGAGTTTCAAATTCAAAATAAGCAAAATATCATGATTCAAAACAAATCAAAGCAAGGGGACATTTTCAGTATTTTGTTTTGAAACAAAACAAGTCTTTCCAGCACTTTTGTTTCCAGCTCCGTGCCTCCACCAACCTCACTGGAGAGCTGGTGATCCTTTGCCCCCCTCCTCCTAGTCATTGACTTCCAAGGAAGTTGAGCTCAGAGCGGACTGACTGACTAGCTTGTGACATGGTCAGCTCTTGAACTCAGGTCTGCCTGACTCCAGTGTGGTATCTTTTCTGTAAACACCCTGCTTACTTCATAGCCTGGTCTCTTACTGAACCCCAGCTCACAGTCCACACTTCGGACTGACTTTATCACCTCTAGTTTCCAGAATGTGTCCTCCTCCTTCCTGGCCGTTGCTCAGGCTTTTCCTCTCCGTGGAACACCCTCACTACCGCTCCTCCCCGCTTGTCTGGGGAGCCCCTGTTCCCCAAGCTTCAGCTGAAATGCAGCTTACTTTAGGAGCTTTTCTGGACTCCTGCCTATATCCAAATGAAGGGGACTGATTCCTTTTGTACACGTGCCCATGTACCCATGTAGAATTATCTTTTGGCATTTGCTAACACTTTAATATTCTTTACACGTCTCTTCCTTTTTTTTCTTCCTTTTTTTTTTTTAATTTGAGACAGAGTTTCACTCTTGTCACCCAGGCTGGAGTGCAGTGGCATGATCTTGGCTCACTGCAACCTCTGCCTCCCCGATTCTAGCGATTCTCCTGCCTCACCCTCCTAAGTAGCTGGGATTACAGGCATGCGCCACCATGCCCAGCTAATTTTGTATTTTTAGTAGAGAAGGGGTTTCACCATGTTGGCCAGGCTGGTCTCGAACTCCCGACCTCAGATGATCCACCTGCTTTGGCCTCCCAAAATGCTGGAATTACAGGTGTGAGCCACTGCGCCCAACCTAAGTCTCTTTTTCTTAATCGCCTATGACCTCCTTGGATATCTCACTCTACTACTACCAAAATGATGGTGGTTGGGGTGGATCCATATCTTTGTATTCTTTCAAGAGTGCCTGGCATTTAGCAAGCACTCAGTAAATGTTTATGACACACACACACACACACACACACACACACACACACACACACAACGTCATTGTCAGATTATTTTATTTTAGGTGGTCTTGAGTTTTTACTTAGACTGCGAACTCTCACAGACAGCTGTCCTCTGTTGAAGCAACAGGGAGCCACTGCAGGTTTTTGAGGCAGAGAGTTTCTTGATCCATAGGTAACATAAGAGACTTACCCATGGGATTAAAGCTAAAGATCTCCCAGTTTCCAAGCCTTTTCAATCTTTCTCTGGAAAAGTTTTATTTCACAAATAAAAGGCTGAAGAAGAGAAGTGCTATTCTTTCATTTTTTGTTAATTCAAAAAATATATCAAGTGCCTGCCCTCTCCCAGGTGCTATTTTGGGCACCATTTAGATAAGAATGAACTGGGCAGACAAAATATCTCCTCTCTTGGAGTTTGCATTCTCCTGGTGGAGAAAGACAATAAATAAGTAAATAATAACTATATCAGTTCAGATAGTAATAAATATTATGAAGAAAGATATAAAAAGACAGAGTAGGGGATGGGCAGATCATTTTACATGGCGAAGTCAAGAAAGGATCTTTGAGGACGTGGCATTTGGCAGAGCTCTGATGCAGTGAGGAGGGGAGCCAGGAGAAGGTCTGAAGCAAGTGTATTCCAAGCAGGTGAAACAGCAAGTGCAAATGCCCTGAGGTGGGAACAAGTTGGGTACGTGAGAGGAACAGCAAGATGGCTGGAGTGACAGCATGGACAGTGGCTGAGGTAGGCCCTAGGTTGTTTCCCAGGGTGGTTGCTAAGGTCAGACCATAATTTGGTAGATGTGACTAGATCAGCCAGTGCAGCTGGTTCTAAGCTTGAGCCAGCTGTGAATGAATGAATGGAACGTAGACTATCAGCCAGAAGATTAGGCTGAGTACCTTGATCAGACTTTTGTTGCTTTTAGTCAGCAACAAAATGAAGGCTTATGGAGCAAAATATAAGAACAATGTGATCTTTTAAATGAGTTTAAATAATCAAAACAGAACAAAGAGTGATTTCTTGAGTGTAAAACAGGTGGTAAGTTGGTGTTTATTCCTTAAAAAGGAATCTGTCACATCCATCCCAAGGTTGTTTTCACTGAAATGTAAAAGTTACTTTCACTGTAATTTGGGGAATGGTATTAAGACGCCACTTGCGGAGGGCAGCTTCAGCTTGATCCTGCCTGAGGACTCTGGAGTGTGGGTTAAACCTCAGGATTATCCTCGCCCAAGGCTGGAGAGCCACAGCACCTAACAGTCCACCCAAGAAGAGCTGCTGGCACTGGCCACCGAAGGCACATTGGAGCCCCCTACCCCCTAAACAATTAAAAGGAATCCCACTGAAATCTGAGTGGAACAGTGACATTGTCTGATTCGGATAGAATAAAGCAGAATCAAAGAGGATGATCTGGAAGTTCTTTTGCCTCATGATGTTCTCATTCATTACACCATAATGATTATAGGACCCAGGACAGTTAGGGATAGCCAGGAGCTCTAGGCCCCTAGGCACATAGTTACCACCTCTTGGCTTTGCTCTTACTCAGCTTTGAGGGTAGATCACCATGCAGCTTACTCGAAAAGGGCAGGGAAGCAATGTGAAGGCAGAATGACATGAATTCAGATTCTGTCTTCATTTTCAGCTCCGTTGGGAAGTTGTGTGACCTTCAGCATGTTACTTAATGTCTCTGGGCCTCAGGTCTCCTGGAACACTCCATAGTTCCCAGGCCCAGACTTTTCCCACCATACTGCCTTGTCTTTCTACAGTGTTTCTGAAACAATGGAAATGAGAGTTTCTGTTTTTCAGGAACTAATTTGGTGGGACAGTGCATAATTGATATTCTTGCTTTGTAATCATTCAAGCCTTTACTTTGCTTGTTTTATTTCTTACAGGGTTTTGATGTGGAGACCTTGAAATTCATTTGCAGAGGAGCAATTTTACACTTTTATTTAGAACTGGAGGGGAACTTTATAAAAGGATAGGGGAAGGGAGAATAAGCCCAACTTTATTTAAGATGCAGTTATGTTGGGGGCAGAGTTGACTATTTGATCATTCTTTGCCTTTTATTGGTAAAACAGACTAGAGTGTCTAAGAGAGTTAGTTGTGTTTTCATATCAAAATTTGATGGTGGATTAGTGGTGGATCTGAGAGCTATTAGAGGAAGGAAGGGCTCTTAGGGACAAGCCCACTCTCAGGTGGTTGGCAACCCTGCCCAAGTTTGGTGCTGAACGAATAAGTGAATAATTTTTTTCCACATCATATGATAAAGAGGAAAAGTTTGTGCTCATCTTAGGTCATGAGTTCTAGTTCCAGTTCCACCACTTGGGTATGTTCATTACCATCTCCAAATTCCATTTCTTTGTCTTTAATGTGAGGAGGGTTAGACTTGTCGAGCCTACTTCTTTAGGTTGTCTTAAGACTCAGATGCTAATCAAATGTACCTGTATATTACATGTGGTAATTCATGGAGTAAATCTGGTAAAGTCATTCCAGACTCTGCATCTAATTCATAGGATCTCAGGAAAATTGTATAATTTTGCTAAAGCCTCTGTTTTTTCATCTGTAGATGGAGATAGCCCCTGCCTTGCCAAATTCATATGGATGCAATCAGATAATGGATAAGAAAGAATCTTGTAAATTGTAAAGCACCAAAAAAGTATTTTTTATGTTATTATTTTTTAATCTTCCTTATCCTATTGGTCACTAGTATATTCCCTAGTCCCTGAGCAGAACTCATGGTGAACACGTTCACTCCCTTTTCATTAGGGGGCTGCTGTGGCCAGAGCATGGGCTTCTGAGTCAGAGAGGCCTCTGCTCAAATCCCTGTTCTACCAGCTACTAGCTGCTGTGTGACCCCGGCTGAGTCACTTAACCTGTTTGAGCACTATCTGAGAACTCAGAAAAATAAGATCCACCTCAGAGGTGTTTGTAGTAAGACTCAAGTAGGAGAGCATGTGTGTGGTATCCAAAACAGCATCTGCTGTGAGTTCAATCAGTGCTAATTACTTCTCTTGACAACTCTCCTCTCCCCTTGTATCTTTAAGGCTGCAGTAGTTGGGGGTTGGTCTGTTTTATTTCTAAAACCACTCGTCACATGCTAAACTGAATCATGCTGAGTTGCATGAGTTCCTTTCTGCATTAAGCTGTGGACTCCTTAAGGAAAGGATGTGTAGCTTGCAGTTCTAACCCCTGGTACTGAGTAGACATGCTGTTCTAGGGGCTCACAGAGGGGAGGCGGTGAACCACAGGAGAATGAACTTAAACTCTGGGCTACCCAGATCTAGGTTTGAGTTTCTTATGGTAGGACCCTAGACAAATCATCTAATGATACTGAGACTCAGTTTCTTCATCTGACAAATAACCCAACAGAGATGCATGCATAGATGCATACGTTTAGGGATTGTTAGGAAGAGCAGAGATAATGCTTGTAAAATGGCTAGCATGGTACCTGGTGCATACTAGGTCTTAGTGAGCAACTGTTGACTGACTAAAGCCTCCGCCCAGTGTTCCATTCTATCGCTAATAGCATCGTCTTTTCCTGAACAGAAGAAACTGGGAAGTATCCACAGGAGCAAAACACCAAGTGGTGTGAGAAAGAGACATTTGCCCTTGCGAGGGAGAATATTTTATCCCTGACATTATTCAGAATTACCTGCACATGTGACAATGAACAAAGAGACTGACTTTTGTTAAATTTCTTCTTTTTTTAAAGTTTGCTACAGATAATGCATGCCTTTATATATAACCTGTACCAGGTGGACTGCTCTCTACCTCCCCAACCTTGGTTGACACTGGCTTACAGGTGGAGGCCAGGGGGTGGTAGGGTAGGGGAGATGGGGTGCTTAATTCCAAGGCAATGAGATGACTGTAAGTAGAGGTGCATCCATGGCTCCGTTAGGAGCACTGAAGTCAAAGCTACCCATCCACCCTGGTGTTGGGACCAGGATTTGGGGCCACCACTGCCAGAAAAGGCTCAAAAGGAAGAATATTGAGGCTGGTCTTGCAGGAAGTTCGGGACCATGCCAAACAGGAAAGAGGAGGAAGGGACCTATTAGGCATAGAGGTTCCACACTGCAGGCCATATTCAGAGGATCTCAAGTAGGAGGGTTTGGTTGGGGCAGAACCAACAGGGCATATTACTTATATTTACAAATCTCCCAGGGAGTGACTGAATTTCCACTTCCTTACAGGTTCTGAAGAAGATTCCAGCCTGCCACACTGTTATGCTGTGAGTCCAGGGCTTAGTGGAACCCTGTCTTGGCCCACAGCCATTAGGATATTTCTCAGGGAAAGCCCTTGGACCAAGAAGTCTAGAATTGTCTGTGAAAACAAAAGCATTTGGATTCTTTTCAGGAAAAATGTAACCTGCAAACAAATAGCCTTGGAAAATCAGTGCCTCACCCTCGGTGCTTGGGTCAGGCACAGGGAGTGCCCCCACCCCGCCCCACCTGCTGCTTTCTGGCTGGAGGCCACCTCCTTTTCCTCTTCTGTATGTTGTCCTGGCTGCCCAGAGGGCAATGCCTCCCCTCCCTGCCTCACCCTTCCCTAGACTTGTTCAGGCCCCAAGTCTTTGCAAGTGTGCTCGCTCTACCCGGAATGTTCTTCCCTCCTTGTCTGTGAGCCCTTTATTATTCTTTAGGACCCAGCTCCAACTTCTCCCTGTTGGTTGATTATTTGCTCCCCTACTATATTGCCCTGGATAATTTCAATTTTAAATATTCTTTTTTTTAAAGATAATAATCCTTGATTTTATATTTAAAAATATAATAATAAAGATGGTTGGTTACCAATTCTTTTTTTTTTTTTTTTTTTTTTTGAGACAGAGTCTTGCTTTGTCACCCAGGCTGGAGTGCAGTGGCTCAGTTCACTGCAACCTCCGCCTCCCAGGTTCAAGCAATTCTACCACCTCAGCATCCCAAGTAGCTAGGATTACAGCCACATGCCACCATGCCCGGCTAATTTTTGTATTTTTTTAGTAGAGACGGGGTTTCACCATGTTGGCCAGGCTGGTCTTGAACTCCTGACCTTGTGATCCACCCACCTCGGCCTCCCAAAGTGCTGGGATTACAGGCATGAGCCACCGCGCCCGGCCAGTTGGCAATTCTTAAACTCTTAAGCTCTTGTTATGAGCCAGGCATTGTGGTACATAATGTTACCCACTCCACATGCAAAGTGTTTAGGACAGAAACAGGCACATAGTAAGTGCTCGGTAAGTGTTACTTATTACTAGTCTTATTAGCTATTTTAATTCTTTCACAGCATTTGCAGAAATTATGCTTTCTTCTGTGCATTATAATGATCAGGTTACATGTCTGTGAGCTTCTTGAGGGCAGGGACTATGTCTTTTACCTCTGGTATCTCAGAGCACGTGACTATCCCAAGGGTATTTCATGAGTGAATATCTAGATGTTGAAGTTGGTGACTGATGTTTATCTCAAGAGTTCCCAAGTCAATTTGGAGTAAGGGTAGCCCAAAGAATATAGGACTGAGAATCAGAAGATCTCGGCTTAGTTCTTTTCCAACTAACTACTAGCTTTGTGACCTTGGGCAGATTAGCCAATCTTTTCTGAATCCCAAATAACCTTTTTCCAAAATGAGAATAATTGTCCCTACCTTGCTTTCCTTTCAGGTTTGCCTTGAGCATCAGATGACCTCACACAGGGGAGAGTTTTGTGAACTGTAAAGTATTTAACACATGTGCAACATTATTGTTTGTATCATATTGCCATCACCACCATACTTGGTGAAACATGAGCTCACATGTAGCTCTTGTTATATAAATATCAATATGTCATTTTGGCTTCTTCACAGTGTTCAAAACTGTAGTTCCTTAATGTTTGGGATGTTCTTTCTCCTCAAAGCAGGCATCCAAGGTATTCACCTCAAGCATTTTGAAGGGTTTTAAATGGCTCTTGATTTTATCACTTGCCTGTTTTAAAATCTCTGGCCCAAAATTTCAAAGTTACACTTTCTCCCAGGAGAGGTCCTGTAAGAATTGTAACTAATCATAGCATTTACTGTTTGATATTATGTAATTCAAGAAGTGAGATGCTAGAGGTTATAAGAAGGGCTGAAAAGAACTATAAGACATAATCTTACTCTCAAGGAACTTCCTATCTAGTATGGGAGTTAGAGCTAAGTCTTAGACTTGTGGGCAAAATATACGATTTGGGAAAAGAAAGACTCCTCTGTGTTGAGCTGGTTTGTGAAGGTCTCAGAGAAAAATTGGATCTTGTTTTAAGCCTTAAAAAATGACTGATGTTTAGACTATAACCCTGGGAACTTAATTCATAAGTCAGGGCCATTGAGTAGTGCTGGTAACATTTCCCTTTTCAGCAAGATTGTTGATTTCTTTAGTTCTTTGTGGAATAGGAGGAAGATATAAGAAGATTCTAGTAATTTATCCACTGAAAAATGTCTGAATCCAGAAAGCTGCTAATAGTCTATGGCTGATGCTTTTATGATGAGAAAATAAAAATCTTTACTTTTCTTTTCAGCCATGATGTATTTGTTTTAAAAAATGTCAGAGAGAAATTTGTTCATAGGAAATTGTGATTCAATCTTCTACATAATAATAACAACAATGAAAGCTCCTGGATCAGTAAGGCCAATTCATAGTGCTTAGGGTAAGGATGATGCTAATAATAACTCAGAATAAGAAGTTTTTAAAAATACCTAAATGTGAACTATTTAGAAAAGAATAAAATGAGAACACAAGATATGAAAATGTATATAATGCAGCCAAAGTCATAGTTAGAGGTAAATTCATAGCTTTTATATTTGCACTTAAAAATAAGTAAAAATAAAGCAACTCTATGTCTAACCTAAGAATTTAGAAAATGAGCAGCAAAACAAAACCAAGAAAAGCAGAGCAATTAAAAAATAGCAAGGATAATAAATAATTAGAATATCAATAAAATTAAAGTAGTAGAATTCATAAATCATGAGCCGGTTCTTTGGGGGAAAAAGTAAAATAAACAAACCTCTGGAAAGCCAACTGAAGAAGAAAAGAGAGGAAAAACAATCAAATAATTAACATCTGAAAAGCTTGTATAGTTTGTAAAACACTATCTCATTTCTTATCACTCTTGGTCCCTAAATTAATCCTCTGTGTTGTATGTTTATATCTCTATCAGACTGGGGATCAAAGAAATGAGGTCACTTTTTAGAGTCATACAACTGGTGAATAGTAAAATCATGATTTGAACCCGGGTCTTCTAACTTTGTTGAATATTCTTCCAATAATCTCAAGACGTCCTTTCAGGATAAGTACAAAAAGGAAGAGTTAAACATTTAATACAAGGGTTCTCAACCCCCAGGATGCAGACCAGTACCCATCTGTGGCCTGTTAGGAACTGGGCTGCACACCAGGAGGGGAGTAGTGGGCAAGCATTACCACCTGAGCTCCACCTCCTCTCAGATTAGTGGCCACATTAGATTCTCCTAGGAGCACAAACCCTGTTGTGAACTTTGCATGCCAGGGATCTAGATTGTGCACTCCTTATGAGAATCTAATGCCTGAAGATCTGATGTGGAACAGTTTCATCCTGAAACCACCCCCCACCCCCTGCCCCATCTATGGAAAAATTGTCTCCCACAAAACTGGTCCCTGGTGCCAAAAAGGTTGGAGGCCGCTGGTTTCCTGGGGCTGTCATGACAAACAACAGTAATTTATTCTCTCACATTTCTGGAGGCTAGAAGTCTGAAATCAAGGAACCAGTAGAACTGTACTCCCTCTGAAGGCTCTAAGGGAGAATCCTTCCTTGCCCCTTCCTAGCTTCCAGTGGTTGCTGGCACTTCTTGGCATCCCTTGGCTGCAGCTGCAGCTCTCCAGTGGCTTCTACATCATCACATGGTGTTCTCCCTGTGTGTATTCACATTGTCTTCCCTCTGCACACATATGTCTTCTCCATTTCTCCACTTACAAGGACATCAGTCATGGGATGAGAGCCCACCCTAATCTGGTAGGACCTCAGCTTAACTCATTTAATTATATCTGCAATGATTCTATTTCCAAATAAGGTCATATCTGATGGTCCAGGTGGACATAAATTTTGGGGAGACACTACTCACCCAATACAATGTTCTTATTTCTTATGATTGTGGTTTTAACTATCTTTATTTTGCTCCACCCACATAGTGAATTTGTACATGCATCCAGCCAGCCAGCAATCATTTAACCTATTTCTTAAAATAGGTACAGGGTGAGAGTGATAGTTCTAATTTACTTGTCAGAACAATCTAGAGAACCATTCGGATTCAGGCACTTTAAGAGGGAGGTGAAGTGGGACAAATACAGAGGAAAGAAACCAGGATTGTAAAATCGTTATCACTCTGGCCACAGTTGAGGGAACTGTTAGGATGGCTAAGAAAATCTCAGGTGTGCATATGGGTCATGGGGTGGGTGAGAGATAAGAGCATGAGAACACTCTTCTAATACTTGAAGGCTTCCAGCCACAGGAGTCTGGGTTTGGTTTTTTTTTGTCTCCACTATAAGAATCACAACCCGGTGGGTAGAAGCTACAGAGATTTAGATTTTAACTCTGTTAACAGAAGAACTTTAAAAACTAGAATTTTCTAAAGACCTAACTAGGGTTGGATGACCCTGGTATGTGTATTTGTGCAATTTTCAGCCTTTAAGCTGCCACAGCTGCTAAGAGATGCCTTATATGCTGGAAGGGCTAGAGGGCTAGAGGGAGCCTAGAAGAGAAGGGGGATTGTTAATGGATTTTATTACTTGCTGAACACTCCAAACTAGTCACTAGACAGAAATTGCTGTTTAAAAATTATAGGAACACATATTATAAAATTGTTTTGCACAAACTTGCAATGTTTATCAATAAAAACCACAGTGATTTGCATAAAATTAAGTGACTTTTATGAGCAGATACTGTGCTGGGGCCTAACAATGCAAGATTGAAAAAAATGTGGGCTTCAAACCAAGGGGCTCACAGTATAGTAAAAGAGATATAACATCAAATACAGGCAAACAGCTATAACAATATAGGAATTAGGCATGCAATAAATATTTGAAGAATGAATGATTGAGTGATTTTCTTCAGAGAATATTTTTGTTGTTTTTAAACATTGACTTAGTAGGGTAAGCAACTGTCCTAATTGGCCTGGGACTGAGAGGTTTCTCGGGATATGGTACTTCCCAAGCAAACTGAAATGAGTTGGTCATGCTGATTTACAGGCTTTTAAAGAAGGAAGGAAGATGTAAAAGCAATTATTGTAACAGAAGCAACAGCAGTTATGGGAGCAGACACAGGAGGCAAGAGTATTGTTTTTAAAGGGGAACAAGGGCAAGCCTCCAAATTTCATTAGAGAAGGGATGACATCAGTCATGTTCACCACTATATCCCCAACAGTGTTTGGCACATAGTTGGAATTCAATCTATATTAGTCAAATACAGTGATGGGCTGCATAATGATGTTTTGGTCAACTACTAACCATATATATGACACTGGTCCCATAATATTATAATACTGTATTTTCACTGTTTCTTTTGTATGTTTAGATATGTTCAAATAGAAAAATACTTACCATTGTGTTACAGTTACCTACAGTAGTTAGTACAGTAACATGCTTTACAGGTTTGTAGCCTAGGAGCAATAGGCTATACCATATAGCCTACATGTGTAGTGGGCTATACTGTCTAGGTTTGTGTTAAGAACACTCTATGATCACACAACGATGAAACTGCCTAAGAATGCATTTCTTAGAACTTATCCCCATTGTTAAGTGATGCATAACTACATGAACTACATAAGCCAAAAAGCATTGAGCTGGGCCTTGAAGGCTACATAGCATTTTGACCCAGGAGAAAGGAATATGTGATGAAAGAATGCAAAAATAGAGAACTTGGATATAGTAATTGATAAATATGATGTTTAATGGAATCTAGTCTTTTCCTATGTCTTTAAATATTTTTCTTGGGAAAAGTCCTTGAAACAGTAAGTCTATTCTATTTTCCCCACTCTTCTTTCTATCCTGAAAAACTTCATCCACCCCACTTTTTGCTTCCCTCCCTTTTATCTGTTGGAAGAGATTTTACTTTTTGTAGAAAGGATGCCAGTAGAATCTCTTTCAGGACAAGCCGAAGTAGCAAATAAACTGTCCAGGAAAACAATGTGCTTTGAAATAGGAGACGGGAGTTGGGAGAGAAAGATTTGGCCAAAGAAGGGCAAGTAGTCTGGAATGTGTAAAACAGCATGAGAGAAGGAATAAGAGAAAGGGTGTTAAGGCCGGGGAAGGCTCTTGGGCCTTCATGGTGAAGGGCCCAGTTGCCAAATCCCAATGCACTGTGTACTAACCTCCCCTGGGGCACATGGGTGTTTCTTGCTGATTCTCTTTATAGGGGACAAAATGTGAGCATTGCTCCTATAAGTGAAAGAGAAACAAAGGGGAAGAAGACTTTATCTACCAACTAGTATGTCCCAGGTACTGTTGGGCATCTTTATTATATGCGCAATCACATACACAAATTTGAAAGAAGATATTATTATCCTCATTATACAAATGAAGAGGCAGAGAAATAAAGAGATGCAGTGATTGCCCAAGATGTTAACTAGTGGCTGGTCAAAGTTAGATTTGAATTCAGGTCTGTCTCGCATTATAACGGTGGTTTCCAACTTTCCATCTTTTTTTTTACAGCTCTGCTGATGAAAGACAAAACTTTCCTAGCTCCCTCCTTCTCACTTCCTACCTCTTCTCAACACCATTGGAGTTTTCTGCACCAAATGCACCCAACATTTCCTTCCAGAACACCCTCTCCTTGCTACAACAAGTCAAGATTTTAGCATCTCTTTTACATTAAATATACATATTATTTTGACCTGAACAAAGCCCAAACTTTGTGATAGCCTCTATTTTTTATTACTTCTCAGGAATATTTATAGCAAGTGTTACTGTACTATGAAGATGTGCTTCTTAAAAGGGCATAGTTACCTACAGTAGAAAGGTATGAGAATCTTATGAGCCCAAGTAGCCCAACAGCCTCTCTCTTAGTGCTTATAGCCATGATCTATTAGCAGAAAAATAAGAGAACCTAAATTCTAGGTTCTCATTATAGAGAGAAAAATAGGAAAACCTAGATTCTAGTCCAGGCTCTTCCATTTGCTAGCTGTGTGACCTAAGTCCCTTTACTTCTTTGAACCTCAGTTAGATTATCTGTAAAATGAACGAATTACACTTTCTTTGCTCACCTCAGAAAACTATATTGAGTGATCACCTTGAGTGAAGTAATAAACCATAAATCAGAAATTATAAGACAAATGAAGGATGTTAACTTTAAATCAATCCTTTGTGGAAAAAAGGGCATAAATAAAATATGAGATATTATTTTTATTTCTTGGTAGTAAGTTCAAGTATAAACATAAAGTCAACCTAGCTTAAGCCAAAAAGGAGACATTATTTGCTCAGATAAATTGTGAGAAGGGTAGGGGTGGATCGGAATTGGCCAGATCCGAGTCTCCAGCACTTACGGGGCACCATCCCTGCCTGTTACCTCTGCCTTCCTGCATATTGGAATTGTTCTCTTCTCTTCATGAGTTCCTTACATGGGATGAGCATGTGATTGCCAAAGCTCCAGGCTTGCCTTCCAGCTTTTGTAGTGTCTTTTTTAATTTGTAAAATATAACTTATGTATGGAATACATAGAATAGTGTATAATAATATATGTAAAGTTTAGGCTTCCATTTTTACAGCTTGCGATCAGAGAGAGAAGAAATTTTCTTCCTACAGCTCGGGGTAGAAAAGTCCCATGGAAATCCTTTGATTGGCCTGGCTTGGGACATGTGCATGCCTTAAATAGATCTCCCTGGCTAAGAGTGGGTATTACCATTGACCCACCTTGGGTCTCAGGTCCACCTACTGTGGCCAAGGGGTGGAGAAAGGACAGACAAGGCCAGGCCCATTTGTATTCATAGCCAACAATGGAATTTAAACAATAAAATATATGTGATGGGGATGCTTCTGTAGGCTTCTGTTTCTTCCAGGATGCTCCAGCTCTGGAGATGCAGGCCTGCCTGGGTGTGTAATGGGGGACCTTGCACTGCTTACACTTGGGAAATCTTGCCAGGTTTTGCTCAGTTGAAGTTTGGCTAGGCATAATATCTAGAATAAGCACCTACTTACATTGTCAGACTTAGTACAGAGAATGCAGTAAAATGAATTGGCTCATGGGTGATCTCTGATCCAGACCCGATACTTCTTACTGCAGCAGGGGAGGCAGAAACTGAGTAAGCATCTGTGCTACAAAAGAGAAGTATGAGCATCCAGCAGCACATAACAGAGGCCCAAGAATGCACTGATATCATCTCAGTGAAGTGTTATGGTTGGGGGAAGGCCTTTTAGGTAGAGGGATTAGCATGCGCAACAGTCTGGGGTTGGAAAGAGCATGCTGGGGGAAGTAAAAGAGGGCCAGTGTGTCCTCATATAGAGAACTAGGGGTAGAAGGGAGGCAGGGTCCAGATTAGGCATCTCAAGGAATATTCAAATGCCAGGCCCACAATGTATGCTTACCAGTGCCCTCTCTCCATCTTTGGCCAGAATGGGCCTGTGACCATTACAGGAGTTCTGTGGCCCAGCTCCTGACCCCACCATATCCTGTCATGATGTTGTCATCCTCTTTAATAGCAAAATTTAGCAATGGAAGGAGCTTCAGCAGTTGGGAAACAGTTGCAAGGATATTTCCCCCTTTCAAAAGAGCTAAGTCCTGCTGCTAATAATAATTATTATTAATGCTAATCATCACATTAGATACCTCTCTTGCCACAGAGCACGTCAAACCTTCAAAGCTCCCAGGAGCAATAATTACCCCTCCCTGATCCCCTATGAAACAGGTAAGTAGGGGTCTGAGTACGGGATAAGGAGCCACAAAGTCTTCAAAATTAGACTTTTTCTCTTTGTGGAGCAGAAAAAGAAAGGTACACTACAAAGCACCCCCCACCCCCAGCTCCTGACTGTAAAAGTGGAGGCAGGAAGGGTAGGGAGGGAATTGTGGCTTCACAGGTGTGTTGAGAAGCCTAATTAGAAGGTTCAACGTGCACTTTCATGAGGAAAAGGGCTGCTGAGTGCCTATTCTCCAGACTTCAAATGCCCCTTTTGGCAGACAGCATCAGGGGCAAGGCAGCCAGTGCTGAGACAGAGGGGATGGGGACCACAAACTCTTCCCATGAGATGGCACTTGTCTGGCTTACAGAAGGCTGAGCCAGGCCAAACTGCCTGGATCTCTTAGGCGTGATGCTGCTGAGACATGGGGGACCAAACCCTGATGCCGTCCAGGTCTTATCTCCTCATGTGATGAAATGCTTTATGGGACCAGGAGCTGTTAGGTCTTTGGTGGCTCAGAAAACCTTCCCAGGGTTTTGCTTTAGTTCAAACAGGACTTCTGGTTTGGTTTTATGCTCTCACCCTCTGCTCCTTCCTCAAATGCATCTATTCTGCATTCACTGTGGGATGGGCCCTATGCCAGGCACTAGGGATACAAGGATGGAGAAAGATTGTCCCCAACCTCATGGTTTGTGGGGAAATGAAAGCACAAATTGACAATTACAGTTCAGGGTGGTATGCTTTGAAAGAGGGAAGCACAGGGATTGTGGGAACCCAGAGGAACAGCGTTTATGCAGGTTGGGGGAGACAGGGAATACCTCCTAGAGGGCTGAGTCAGCCTATCCAAGCTCTTCCCATTAAGCCCAATTATCCTCCAGGAAAGAAGTTTTTCCTACACATGCCTACCCTCCAGCCACTGTGCACCATGGCCTCTTCTCATTGAATCCTACATACCTGCACCAATCCTACGGCACTTCCAACCAGCTCTTGTGTTTTCAGACATATCTTTAGGCATGAAGTTTAATATTCTGAATGACAGAATTAATATCAGTAATGAAAATCCTTTACATTTGTATAGTGCTTTGCAATTTACAAAGTACATTCACATCCATGACCTCAGAGAGCTCAGAGAGTTTAAGGGGTCGATCAGGTAAGCCTGTTCATTGCACCCACCTGTCTGCCTATCAGTCCTGTGCTTTCTCTCATATTCCTGCTGCAGGCAGGCAAGGGGGAAAAGAATGAATATGTAGGGCATGCCTGCTGTTTACCTACTAAATGCTTCACATGGATCATCTCATTTAACCTTCACACCAATCCACTGAGGGTTGCATCATACGATCCCCCTCTTATAGACAGGAAACTGAAGCTCCAAGAGGTCAAGTTATTTGTCCAATGTCCCACAGTTCATAGGGGATGGAGCTGGGATTTCTCCTAACATGGGCTTAACTCCCAGCCTGTTCACTCTTGGCTACACAATGCTACTTGGTATTTATCTCTCAATGCCAGGTATATAGTACAGCTTAGTAGAGTTGTGGAGGTCTGACTTATTTATTTGTCTTCCTATCTTTCTGCCTACCTTTTTGTTCTTGAAGTAGGCATGCAGCGGTGAGGAAGCGGAGCTTTGTCCCTGGCATACTGGCCCTATAGGCACTAAAGAAACACTGGTCTGTGACTGGGCCCCTATTCTCTTTTGCTACCTGGAATGTCGCCGGTAAGAAGCAGAATGTTAAGATGTTGAAACATTGACTGTATAAGATGGATAGTTCCTTCCTGTCCCCAACCTGTAAAGGCCTGAATGTCATTGGAGGCAGCTGCCCAACAAACCTGGAATAGCACTGCCCTCCGGAATATCCTCTCCCTTGGACAGGACTAGGGACGTGCGGTCCAGGCCTTTCTCTTGGGCCCCTCTTTCACCTACCTCCTTGCACATCAGAGCTCTTGGATCTATTTCATGACCTCTGTGTCTCTCAGAGGTCATAGTTTGCTTTCTTATTACCAGTGGATCCTCTGGTTGTCTTCATTCAACACCCACCTCCTGGGCCAGGCACCTGTGGATCTCTGGGGTGCAGAGTTGAACACAGCCTCTTCTCTGAGGCATTCCCAGGTTGGGGGCATTGAACCAGGGTAGAAAGGGTGGATGGAAGGAAGTCCAGAGGCTTGTGGAAGCATGGAGGAGGAGCACACAGGCAGTTAGGAAAGACTTCAGAGGGTGTAGTCAATGGGTTTGGTTTTAAAGGATGCACAAGGATTTTACAGGCAAAGAGATTGGTGGTGGGAATTCCACCCAGAGGGATTTTTATCCCTCTTCAGTACTTGTGACTCTGAGGGACCACACAGGTGTGTGCATGGGTTCTGCAGGACAGCCTCTAGAGGTGGGAAGAGCTCACATGCTGTTTGTGTGGCTTGGTTCCTCAGTCATGATCATCTCTGTCCCCTTGACATGTCATGGTTCCTAGCTACCTTCTTGTTTTTGAGCATTTTTGCTGAACTTGTTCCATTTTGTCAGCATCTTTCAGAAAGTAGGAGTTAGCATGGTGCTTAAGAGAATGGTCTTCAGCACTACACTAGACCTCAGTTTGAATCCTGGCTTTGCCACTTATTAGCTAGGAAGTTAGACAAGTTTCTCTGAGCCTCAGTTTCTTTATGCATAAAATGGAAAGGCCATAATGCCCCACTGGCCTTTGGGGGGTTTAAATCAGATCGTGAATGTGAAAGATTGACACTCATTCTGGCACAAAGCAAGTGGTCAGTAAACATCTTCTGAGGCCATATTCAAAGTGTGGGACCAGAACTGAATGCAAGTCAACTTGGGGGAGGCTGGCCAGAGCTGGACTCTTGCCTCATGGCCCTGACACTGGCCTTCTCATGCATGCAAGGATCACGGTGGCCCTTTTGGCAGACTCACCCTCTGCCGACTCACTCCAGGTTGCTTGGTCCCTTTGACTTCCTTCTCAAGGGCTGCACTGCTAAGTCACCTCTCCCCAACCATTTCCTGGAGCTGGTGGTGTGGTGGAGCCTTATCCAGGGCCTGACATTTCGGCTTGTGAAATTCCACTGTGGGTACATTTAGCCCATCCTTCAAGCCTGTCTTGAATCTTGGTCCTGCCTCCTAGTATTTGCTAGCTTGTTTCCTAACAGGATTTCCTCCCAGGCCAATCCATCTAACAGGCTCTGGCCAGAGAAGCTTTTCAAAAATGCTGTTTTCCTCATATTCCTCTCCTGTTCAAAATCCTTCCATGGCTATTGAATGGATAAAGTTAACACTCTTTAGCCTGGCACATGAGACTCTTTATGATCCACCACCAACCTTCTCTTTGGACTGTTTTATTTTTTCCTGCCCAAATAGGGGTGTAATCATTTCTATATTTGAGGATTTTTGAGAGGATTAAGTGAGTTCATACTGGAAAAGTACTTAGAACATGACTTTTAAGAGCTGTGAGGGGTCTGAGATCTTCCACCACTTGCAAACTAATGGGTTAGCCTGGTACCACTTCATGACTGCTAGGTGGGAGACAAAAGATTTTATCACTCATAGAACTAGCAGTAGCCAGAGTATTAGTGTTTTGTTTATTTACTTATTTATTTTACGGATGGCGTCTTACTCTGTTCCCCAGGCTGGAGTGCAGTGGCGCTATCATAGCTCACTGCAGCCTTGAGCTTCTGGGCTCAAGCAATCCTCCAACTTCAGCTTCCCAAGTTGCTGGGATAACAGGAGTGTGTCATTACACCTGGCTAGGGGTGTGTGTGTGTGTGTGTGTGCGTGTGTGTGTTTGTGTTTAAAGAGATAGGGCCTTGCTTTGTTGCCCAGACTGATCTCAGGCTCCTGGCCTCAAGTGATCCTCCAGCCTTGGCCTCCTAAGTCACTGGGATTACTGGCATGTGCCACCATGTCCAGCAGAACCATTGTTTCCATATGCTATTCCCCTGGGCTCCAATTCCCATGGAGCAATGTGAAGAGGACCAGATGACACCTGGCATTTGAGAGTTGTATTAGGAGAGGAATCCCAAGTTTAAGGAACTTGAATTTGTTTTAAGCAAGCCTACCCTCTGCTCTAGAGGGAGACACTATCTCTCTTTGTTCCTGTAAAAACATCCTTGAAAATAATATCTAGAACAAAGGCAGTCAGGCCTTTAATCACAAAACATGCAGAAATTTGAGACATCTTGGAGAATTGTGTATCAATGAGGGCCAGGTGCATTGTGAGTGCTTTGTGCATATCAGCCATGATGAGGGTGAGGGTGGTGGTGGTGGTGTGTGTGCTTTGCTTCTTTCAGTATGGTGGGTCTTCTCTTCAGTATCATCCTTGACTGTGAGTTCTGCTTTTTGTACCTTTAATTATGCAGTTCCCTCAGACCTCCCCATTCCTTCACCTCTGCCTAAAATCTCTGCATTCTAGCTTTAGTTCTCCAATAAATCTCTCCTGACCATCCCAATTTAAATGGACCTCCCCTTTCTAAATTCTGACAGTGCCATCTGTTCCATTCTCTCAGCATTTAGCAAATACTGTTTCCCTCCCCTCAAGTCCTTTGCCAAGCTCTTCCCTCTGCCTGGAACTCCTGCCTCTCTCTCTTCAGATTAACTCCACCTCATCCTTAGTTCATCAGTTTAGGTGACACTTCCCCCAGAATGCTTTCCTGATCTCTCCTGTACCCAGCCTGGATTAGAGGCCTCCATTTTCTCCTGTGGCATCAGTGGTGACCTCTATATGGCATTACTTGCCTGGCTTCCCCTCTAGACTTGGAGGTTCTGGAGGATCCTTGTATGCCCAGTATCTGCCATAGTGCCAAAAAGGCATTTAATTAATATTTACAAATGAACAAATGATCACATGAATATATAACTACTCATATCACATATTTATGCAAATTTAATAAACAAATCTAACCATATTGAAAGCTCTTGGAAAAAGCCCAGGGGACACAGATACCTCAGTAGGTATTTAGTGGCTGTGGATTGATTGATAAGATATGCAATTATGCTGGTACAGTGGTGTGCACCTGTAGTCTCAGTTACTTGGGAGGGTGAGGTGGGAACACTACTTGAGCTTAGGGATTCAAGTCCAGCCTTGGCAATATAGTGGGACTTCATCTCTAAAAATAATAAAATAAAATAAATGTAATTAGTCAGTACATTCCCTTTTAGATGCAGCAATTTCACCTTGATTTAAAGGATATCTGTGAGGCCAAGTAGACCTCTATTTAAGAGTGTAAAAAAAAAAAGAATGTATACATTGTCAAAGGTACTATTCATTCTGGTTTTATATAAGGGAAAATTCTAGTAAGCCTTCTCAAAGCAATTTAAAAACCATAAATTTCATGTTCCCTTAACTTAGTAAATTTCAAACCCATTTCATCCTTAATAGTCTACAAAATCAACATCAGTTTCAACTAATGGTCTGTTTATAGCTTACATGGTAAGTTTCAAATTGCAAATGCATTTTTACACTGGCGTTTGAAGGTTGATATTGGAAAGAATGACAGAGGAGTCACCATGAAACGTGGAGCGGAGTTTGAGGCTAGCTCCCAGTTTTCCATAATGGGATACAATTATACCAAAGAATGGAAAATTTTGGAAACTCAAACCAAGTGATAGGAGCCCTCATGACACTTGTTGAGGCTAAAAACTAGCCTTTCAGGATCGGATGAGCCTGCATTTGAATTCTGCTTCTCTTAATTACTGAGCCTAAGTTTCTTCATTTATATAAGTGGGAAAATGTGACACACAGTATAGGATTGACATGAGGATTCAATGAGGTAACACGTGTTTTTTTAAAAAAAGCCTAGCACAGTATGTGACACATAGTAAGCTCTCAACAAATGCTAGCTGTTATTATTATTATTATTACTAATTTGTAGTCAGGAAGACTTGGATTTGTATCCTAGCTCAGGCGCTGACAGCTGTTTGCTGGGCCTCTCAAGCTGAGGGACGTTGAGAACTTTCTTAACTTCTTCAAGCTTTGGTTTCCTCACTTATAAAATGGGGACACTGGATCATACGGTTGATGTCATAATAAAATTGGAAGATGATGTGCAATGCTCTTAAGGAATGCATAGCACATGGTAAGCACTCAGTAACTTGTGTAGAAAAATAAAGGTAATAAGAATTATTATTCTCTGCATCTCTTTTTTCCTTATTTGTAAATCTGGAAATACCAGTGTTGCTATATGATTGTAAGGATTGGAAATAATAAAGTATCAAGTGTAATGTTAGACACATAGTAAGTAGGTACCCAAGAGATGGAAGCTATTGTTTCTAGACCCTCCCTCCTCCTGCCTTTGCCTGGCTTCCAGGTCCTGATGAATGGATGCGGCAATTTCTATTTTCAGGGGTTTCTCTGAGAGCACTGAGTTGGGGTGAGGGGCAAGAGAGGGCTCTGTCAACTGGTAACCGCAACCTGGAAGTGAACTTCCCTAATCAGCACTGCAGGATTCCAACAGCTGGTTCTACTTTGGAATCAATTGGAACCTCCTGGGCTCCTTGCTCTTATTCCGCAAGAAGCAAATGCCATCCCACAGCTAAGATTTAGAAATTTGCCACACCATATCAGAAACAGATCCATTTGCCAACAAGGTCAAGGCTCCCAAGGCCAAGGCCCCTGTTCTGGAGCCTCTGTAGCCTGCCGGGTGGCCTTGGAGGCTGAGCCTTCAGCCATAGGTCAAGGCTGCCTGTGGCACTGCCCACAAGCACTATCCTGCCACTGGCCACTGGGAAATACCACCCCAAACACCCAGATTTTCATTTCAAAGAGTGAGTCACATTCAGATGTGGAAAGCATGTTAAATAACAGTTTTTAGGATATGAATGTTATAGTGCAGCAGCAAGAATGCATTTGGTTTGGAAAGGAAGTGTTTCCTAAGTGCCTGCCTTATAATTTCTTCCATCTGCCCATATTTCTGGTGGGCCCTTGAAGTCTCTAGGGCCTCCAGAGTAGCCAGTGCTGCCCTGGGTGCTTTAGGTACCAGAAGATACTGGTTGAATGGCTGTTATCAGCACTAGCTGAGGTTTGAGTCAACAGGTGAAAGAGCAGGCTGTTTCCTAATTCTGGGCTTACTTGCTGTATGGCCTCAGGCAAATTCCTTGCCTTCTCTGAACTTCAGTTTCCTCACCTGAAGAATGATGGGGGTGGGCTATATCTTCTTGAAGCTGCCTTTTAGCTCTTTGATTTTCTGATCACAAGTGATCGCTAATGCTATAATTGCTCAAAGGATGAAAAACAGCAAATGCCACTAATTAAGCACTTATGGGTCCAAGGACTGTTAGGCATTTTAATAGATAATTTAATGAACTGAATGAATTACTGCAAACATCCATTATCTCTTTTGGAAAAGAGAGTAAAAAGGGAGGTAAAGTGATGAGTGGAGCACTTGTTACATATTTGACACTGTCCTCGATGCCTTAATACACATCATCTTGTTTTGTCCTCTTTTCAAACTGGGAAAGTATTATTACCACAATTTGTAGAAGAGGAAACTGATGCTTAATGGGGTAAGTAACTCACCACATAAGTGATGTAGCCGAGGATTTGAACCCAGTTTTGCTACTTAGAAAGGGTGCATGTATCTGTTTTCTTCCTTGGTATTGAGCCCCTTTCATGCAGGAAGTGCTCAGGTCAGCGGAGGTCCTGTGTAAAGATTGGTTAAATGTATGAGGAAAGTCTTGGTGACCAGCTTGGAGAGAGCCAGGACTCTGCCAGAGCACACCAGATGTGAGGAAGGGGTGGGATGCCGTAGAGCCCAAGTTCCTGAGTCCCCGACCTTGGGGCAGCTGCATCTACCTGGCACCCCTAGCAGCCCACCCCATGAATGTGTCTGGGTTATCCTTGACCCCTTTTTCTTCAGCAGAGGGATCCAGTGAGCAGGACAGCAAAACGGGCCTTGGTGTAACTTCTGGAGAAACAGGGACAAGTGGAAGGAAGGTGGCAGAAAGGGAGAAGAGGAGATGGAACAGGGTGCAGAAACCTGGAGGCCAAGGGCCCAGCCAGAATGGAGCCTCACGTGCTGGGAAGAGCCATTTTCCCCAGGGCAGGCCAGGGAACCCCATCAGCTCCTGTTTCACATACCACTGACCCCTGCTGGTGAGTAAAGATGGTGCCAGCCTCCAAAGGTTCCTGGGGAGAAGGCCCCATGTCCATTTCAAAAACGGGGAAATGGACACCCACACACATTCACTCCCTCAGCCTTTTCTTTCCACTGGATAAAGCCTCCAGAAACACAATGAACTTTACAAAATTTATGATGCTAGTCTCAGGGAATATGTCCTGGTGGCAGTAAGAGAATAGAGAACCCAGGAGTCCTTGCTCAGCAGCCTTTTCTGGCTGCAAACATCTGCAATCTGGTTAGTCATGCTTTCATTTATTCAACAAATATTTGCCAAGCTCCTACTTTGCTCCTGACACTTCTAGACACTAGGTGTAAAACAGTGAACAAAATAGAATTTATGACTGCCCTTGTGGCACTTACAATCTAATCGGGGGATGGGATAGAGGGCTGCATATCAGTTTCCTGTGACTGCCATAACAGACTGCCACAACTGGGTGGCTTAAAAATGACAGAAATATATTGTCTCACAGTTCTGGAGGCCAGAGTCCAAGATTAAGGTATTGGCAGGGTTGGTTCCTTGAGAAGGCTCTGAGGGAGGATCTGTTCCATGCTTTTCTCCCAGCTCTGGTGGCATTCCTTGACTTGTAGATGTATCCCTCCAATGTCTATCTCTGTCTTCATACTGCCTTCTCTGTGGATCTCTCCCCTTGTCTATTCTGATAAGGATATTTATCATTAGAGTTAGGGCCTACTCTGATCCAGGATGATCTCACTTTGAGATCATTAACCATGTCTACAGAGACCCTTTTCGAAGTAGGATTACATCCACTGGTTCCAGGGGGACATTATTTTTGGGGGGACCCCATTCAACCCACAGCAGGAGGCAATAATAAAGTTAGATAAACAAGCAGTTACATGATTGCACATTGTGATGAGCAGTGAGACAGGAGAGTAAACCCACAAAGCTGCAGAATAAAGATAATACAGCTGTTGAATACTTAATTTCTCCGAACCTCAGATTCTTTACCTGGAAAAATGAAAATAATAATGCCAAACTCATAAAGAAGTAAGGATGGAAGGATTCAATTACTTAGGAGTTAAGTTGTTGATTAAATACATGAAAATGTCACTGGCAAATAGTTGTTTATTAGGATTTTTTTTTTCTCCACTGGCTTCCAAATTTCCTCCTCTTCCTTCCTTCATTCATTCACTCATTCATTCATTTATTCAATATATTTTGAGCTCTTTCTCTGTACTAGATTTTTTCCTAGGCCCTGAGAATGCTGTAGGGAACAAAATAGATAAATTTTGGTTCCTCATTGGGCTTACATTTTCATCATTGTGATGGTTAATTTTATGTGTCAACTTGACTGAGCTGTGGGGTACCTAAGTATTTGGTCAGACATTCTGAGTGTTTCTGTGAGGGGTTTTTGCATGAAATTAAATTGGCAGACTGAGTAAAGCAGATCGTCCTCCCAAATGTGGGTGAGCCTCATCCAATCAGTTGAAGGCCTGAGTAGAACAAAAACCCTGACCCTCCCCTGCATAACAGAGAATTCTTCTTGCCTAATGGTCTTTGAACTGGGACATTGGCTTTTTCCTTGCCTTTGGATTCAAATAGGAAGAATGGCTCTTTCTGGTTCTCAAGCCTGAAGGCCGTTGCTCTGTAGCTATACTATCAGCTCTCCTGGTTTTCAGGCCTTTGGGCTTAAACTGAAACTAAACCATGGCTCTTTTGGGTCTTCAGCTTGTGGACTCATCTTGCTTATCTTGAGACTATCCTGCCTCCATAATTGTGTGAGCCAATTCCTTATGATAAATCTCTGTCTCACTCTGTACATGTATACACATTCTATTGGTTCTGTTTCTTTCAAGAACCCTAACATATAGAATCATCTTAATCATCTTCATCCCCTTTGTATTTGTCCAGTGCCTTCTTCATCCATTAGCTCTTTTTATCCACAAAACAGCATTGTGAAGTAGGCAGAGCAAACATTTTGAAAATACCCATTTTACAGAGGGAATCTGAGTCCTAGGGAGGGTTCCCTTTAACTGCTATGCCATGGTGCTGACTCCGCCATGGGAGAAATATAATGTCCCTGTGGCCAGAGGGCACATAGGTAGCTGGATAAAAAGGTTGTGCGTTGTGCTCAAGTCAGGTTTCTTTTTCTTTTTTTTTTTTCTAGATGGACTCTCACTCTGTCGCCCAGGCTGGAGTGCAGCAGTGTGATCTTGGCTCACTGCAACCTCTGCCTCCCGGGTTCAAGCAATTCTCCTGCCTCAGCCTCCAGAGTAGCTGGGAATACAGGTGCACACCACCATGGCTGGCTAATTTTTGTATTTTTTTTAGTTTCACCATGTTGTATTTTTTTTTTTTTTTAGTTTTTTGATTGTTTGTTTATTTTTGTTTTGTTTTAGTTTCACCATGTTGGCCAGGCTGGTCTCAAACTCCTGACCTCAGGTGATCCCCCTGCCTCGGCCTCCCAAAGTGCTGGGATTATAGGCATGAGCCACTGCGCCTGGCCTTAAGTCAGATTTTTAACCCTTTTTAACAAAAGAGCAGTATTTTGATGATGATTATGATTTTTTTTTCTTGTGGCCAGAGTGGAAAAACAATCACTCTCCTCTTTGATTTTTAATATAGCATTGGTCATCAATTAGAAACCTCTTAAGATTTCCTGGGAAAGGAATATGACACTGCTAAGATATGGGCTAGGCAAGTCTTGTGACATAATATGTAAGCAAGATATTCTAGAAATGCCTCAACTAAACTAAAAAAAAAAATCTAGATGAGTCATGGAGACTCAGGTTTAAAATGATTTTAGAATGTATCAATTCTGGTCCCTTTCTTATATAGCGGAGGAGTTAATTGGCTTACCAAGGTCCACACCTTAAAAGTAATATATTGACATTATTTCAAAGATAGCTTGACTTCCAATCCATTGCCCTATTCATTATTTAATGCTTATGTGGTGAATGCAGACTGTCCTTCCTTCTCCCAGCTCTTGGTGTATTGTATGCCACCCCTGTGGAGTGGGAAAGGAATGGTGGTAGAAAAGGTGTTTATACTCATTTTTCCATATTTCTGTGCCCATAGATGATGCTTTGAAATGCAGGTTATCACTCTTGGCCCTGCATTTGTGAGAAAAAATATTTTGGAGTCAAACAGACCTGAGTTTCAATCCAGCTCCTTGCTTGCTTATTGCAGAAGAATGGTCGAATTATGTAATATCTCAAATCTCAGATTCCTTATTCATTAAATAGACCTGGTGGCTGTATTTACTATTCTAATTTTCATGTGAAACTATGAGATAATGCATGTGAACCTGTCAGCACAATGCCTGACATAGTAAATACTCGATAAACAATACCAATCACAATTGTCCCTCGGTATCCATGGGGGATTGGTTCCAAGATCACTGCAGATACCCAAATCTGAGGATGGTCAAGTCCCTGATATTAATCTGATATAAAATGGTGTAGTATTTGCATATAACCTACACACATCCTCCTGTATACTTTAAAGCATCTCTAGATTACCTAATACAATGTAAATGCTGTGTAAATAGTTGTTATACTGCATTTTTTAAAAAAGTATTATTTTTATTGTTGTTATTTATTATTATTATTATTGTTTTAAATATTTTTGATCTGTGGTTGGTGAAATCTGAGGATGTGGAATCCATAGATATTGAGGGCTGACTATTAATAAGGTAAAATTCCAGCATTGAGGGATGTTGAGTGGGGGCCAGTGGGGCCAAGAGCACACACTAGGTCTTCAAGGCTAGGTTCAAGGCTGCCTTCCCTGGCCACTCCAGTTAGCAGTGAGTGCTTTCTCATGGTGCCTGCCATACATGTTGTTTTATATTGTCCCTGTATCACTATGAGATGTCTTTCTTTTCTGACCCAAGGTTTTTTATGTGCAAAATGGGGCAGGGCAAGGAGGGGAATTATCTACCTCACAGAAGTTTTGAGAGATTTAATTGAGTATGAAAGTACTTGGCAAACTGAGCAGTGGGAACAAACTTTCATTTGTTCATTCATTCATTCACTTACCACATGTTTATTAAGGAAAAGCTGCTGTATATTGGCATTATGTGTGGTTGACGCTGGGAAAGCATTAGTAAAAAAATCTTGTCTGTCTTCTAGAACTTCATTGTTAAGTAAGAAAGAAATTTCAATATAACTCTAATATGAGATTTTTATTATTTTAATAATTATTGTCATCTAATTTCTTGGTATAGATGAAAGCTCTGGGATGGCAGATACCTTCATGAATATTACTGATAAAACATGTCAAGGGGTCAAACCAGGAAATGGCACAAGTGAAACTTGCAGAATATGATCATGCCATTCCCCTGCTTAAGGTTCGTCAGTAGCTCCAAGGATAAAATCCCAGCTTCTGAGCAGGGCATTTTCGAGGTCCTTCTTCATCTGACTGCTGCCTCCTTATGCCATCAGGCCCTTCCCCATGCTGTTTCCTCTGTTGAGGATGCAGTTCCTCCTTTTCTTCTCTGCTCAGCAAACCCTAGTGGTCTTGTAAGACACCACCTCCTCCCAGGGCCCTTTCACTACTCCTCTAGGGAAGATCGACACCTGTGAGCTCAGGGACCTGTGGCTGCCTCCATTAAAGTGGCAACTGCCACCTTTTATATATTTGTCTGCACCCCCTGGTAGATGGAGAGCTCTTTATGCTAGCGACTTTGTGTCCCTAACACCCGACACGGAACCTGGGACACAGAAGGCTCGGTGTGTGTTTGTGGAGTGAATGAGCACACGTGTGAACGAGTGTCAGTCATTCTTTGCTACCTTCTCAAGTCTTGGGTTGAATACATTAGTTAAAAGATCAATTAAAGTGAATTGGGAAGCAAAAATTACTTCTTTGCCACTGCCAAGATGAGAAACGTGATTTTCAACCAAGGCTCCTCAGAACTGTTTAAATCTGTGGCTATCATAAATATGGGTATGGATTCCAAGGATAACAAGAGAAGCTGAAGCCCACCAGGAGAGGGAGAACTCTATGACTCCTTTCTCTCCAAAGAGGGCTCAGAAGTTTTTCTCAGTGTTGCCAATATCAGAAGAGGAGAAGAATGCTCCATGTCACCAAGCATCTACAACCCTAGACTAAGGACTTTCATGCTGTTGTTTAAGAATTACCCTCTGAGCCGGGCCTGGTGGCTCACGCCTGTAATCTCAGCACTTTGGGAGGCTGAGGTGGGCAGATCACCTGAGGTTAGGAGTTCGAGACCAGCCTGGCCAATATGAAGAAACCCCGTTTCTACTAAAAATACAAAATTAGCTGGGTATGGTGGCGCATGCCTGTAATCCCAGCTACTCAGGAGGCTGAGGCAGGAGAATCGCTTGAACCTGGGAGGCGGAGGTCGTGGAGAGCCAAGAACACGCCATTGCACTCCAGCCTGGGCAACAAGAGTAAAACTCCATCTCAAAAAAAAAAAGAGAAAAATTACCCTCTGTAATTTAATTTTCTCCTGGCATCCCCATGGTATAATTCATCGAAATTTTGTTGTGGGGTCCAGAAGGGCTGTATTGGAATCTTGGTTCTTCTACTTGCTAGTTTTGTGACTTTGGGACCCCTCTGAGCCTTGGTTCCTCCTTTGTAACACACTCATCTTACATCATGGTGAGCCAAATCCCATAGAATGACATCTGTACCATGTAGCCCAGTGTCTCATACACATCCAATAAGTGTGGGCTCTCTTTCTTCCCCATCACAGAAACTCACTCTGAACATGCTTCCAATTGTTACCATTGATGATTTATTTATGTTTGAGTCTGGGAAGGTGTTTCTTGAAATCTGATAGCAATGACAATGACAACTGAGTTCATCATATGGAGTGATTACTGTGGACCAGGCACTATCCTAACTGCTTTACTTATATGGTTCTTTATGATAGCTCCATGGGGAAGCAATATTGTTATCCAGTATTGTCAGATGAAGAGACTGAGGCACAGAAAGGTTATAAATCCTGCCTAAGTTTATACAGCTGATAAGTGGGGAGCCAGGGACTCTGGCTCCAGAGTCCCACGGTATTAACAGAGCTTGTCTATTGCCCACACTTCAGCCAGATAGAAGGTCGGGGGAACAGCAGTTAACTAGTAGTGCCATGCCAAGCCACTACAATTTCAACCTGAAGCAAAAGAAACTTGGTCTTCAAGATAGTCTGTGGAGGTCACATTATTGACAAGTATATGATTTCCCATACCTTTTGGAATATTGAAAATACCTCTAGGTACCCTTCTCTCACTGCCTTTACTACTTTCCCAGACCCTTTTGGGTCCACAGGTCTGAGGTTGAAAATCCTAATGTAACCTAAATTTCTCCTGAAAAGGAACTCAGAGAGATCAAGTGAGTTTTTTGCTCCCTTGCCCCATACTGAGATTGTAGTATATGAGGAAAATGGCAGTTATAATAAAAATACTAATTACCACATTTAGAGCCTTGTTTAAATATAGTAAACAATATATTTTTGATCAAAAACAGCCTCTTAAAATTTATCAATAACTTTTTATATAATGGCTTATTTGATGGAAATGGTAATAATGATAATAATAACCATGAACCTACTGAATATGAAATATATTAATAAACCATCTTAAAATGTTATTTACTCTTCACAACAATGAGAAAAATGTGTATTATTTTCTCTGGTTTACAGATGAGGAAGCAGGTTCATATGTTATCTCATTTAATTTTTGTCATAACCCTTGAGGTTGGTTCTCTTACGATCCACAAAACATGAGGAAATTGAAGCTCACAGAGGATAAGACATTTGCTCAAGCTCACACAGCAAATCAGAGGCAGAGCTGGGACTCGAACCCAGATCTTTTTGACTCAAAAGCCTGGATTTTGAATTGCTGTGCTGCAGTTCTCAAAGTAACCCATAATGTAGGCAAATATCATCCCCATTTTGCAATGGGGAAACTGAGGTAGTTAGAGAACTGGCTTACCTAATATTCTCCTAGCTCTACTGTACACTCTGGAGACCAAAATGTTTAGTAGTTGCACATAAGGGCTTTGGAGCTGGCTTGCACTTTGCACAGTGATGGGACCAGGTGAGCTCTCAATAAATGATAGCTGTTGTCATTTTCAGCATGGGAGTTCGGCAGCCCACAACCTGGGCACAGACCTGATACCTGCGTCCTTGACTATCTGTTCTGTTTTTGTGCAGACTTGTGCTTGGACCGCAGGAATTTTCTATCATCTGCATGCAATGCCTACTGATGACACACTATCACAATAAAGGCCACCTGAGTCTATGCAGGGGAAAGCTTCCTTCGTGGGAGGCCTATCTGAATGGATGTGGCCTGCAGGAGGCCCTTGGAGCAGAGGCTCAGCCTCTGACTCACACTGAGCTGTCCCCCATCCGGTTAAGGCCAGCCCAGGAGCCGCCCACCTCTCCTGCACCCGCTGCCTTCTTGGCACAGACCTCTGGCTGCAGCCTTTGGGCTCCAGGCTGCAGAATTACTCACTCGCAGATTCTTCCTTTGGCATCTGCCAGGATCCAGGAAGAGGGCTTTGTAGTCTCTCTGTCTCACTTAGCTTTTTCCCTGCCTCCTTTATCAGTTGAATTGCTAAAGCCAAAGCTGAATTTCTCTCCCATTTCCTCCAAGGACCAGTATCCGGTAGGAATCATCTCTGCACTTGGGAGGCTAGGGAGAAGTCAAACACCAGGTCTGGCTCTTTGCCCCTGGAGGAAGAGTTAGTCACTTGGTTACTGCCGGCTGAAATCGACTGGAGATGTCACAGGGAGAAAATGCTTTCCTATGAGTTAGTGGAGCATGGTCTCCACAAAAATTGCCTTTTTACTGAACAGAGAAAGTGGCAAACTGATGTCCTCTTCACAGAGTTCTGACTTTAGTCCTCTAGCTGCAGCCATTAGCAATTCCTTTCCATCCAGTGCATAGAAGTCACAGGAGGCATGTCACAAAAATGGGGAGTAGGGAGGAGAAAAATTAGATGTGTACACACATGATCTCATTTTGTCACCACAGCAACCTAATTGTCATTATCCTGATTTTTTAAAAGGTAAAACTTGAGGTGGTGAATGCTTGTCCAAGATCATGGAGTTGGTGACTGGCAGAGCCGACATATGGACCCAAGTCCTTTCAATGCCAAATCCACTGTAGGGGAAATGGCCCTTCTGTCTCTTTCTCTCCCTCTGTCTCCCCTTTTCCTCTTGATTCCATGTGTCACCTTCCCCACTCCCAGTCTCGAAGGGGTCAGAGGATTATATGACACAACACAATGCCTTGCATACAGTACTTGCTCAATAAATGCACATTAAATTTGAATTGCTATGCCATGCCTTTTATGAACATTTGCATTTTCAAAAAGGACTCTTAGAAAAGATAATACTTAATACCAAGGACTAAATGGTGAATTTCCAGCACAGGAGATCTCTAGTGGGATGTTTATTTCCTCCATCCCTTCTTCCTCTCCCTCTTCCTTCCTTCCTTCCTTCTTCTCGTGTTCTCTCCTTCAGAACAAACACCAACACTATCCTAACTACTTTATAAATATTTACTTATTTAATCCTCATTACCACTGTGTGATGTAGATACCATTATTGTTAGCAATATCCCATTTTGGAAATAAGTAAATGGGCATAGAGTGGCTTAGTTATCTGCCCAGAAACACACAACTTATAATAGGCAGAGCAGGAGTTTGAAGGTGGGCACTTGGCCTCTTTAACCATTGCTGGTATCCCTGTCCAGGCACAGATAGCTTCCTGGAGCCATTTCCATCTCTCACATGAACTTGACATTGCAATTTACAAGGTTTGTTCAAATAGGGTCTCATTCTATTTGATTCTCACCACCATTTGTGAAGTCTGGACTTTGCTTCCTATTTACAATAGAGAAAGCCCAAGCTTGGAGAATTTAAGTGACTTGCATAAGGTCACACAACTGCTATGTTAGCAGAGCTTGGGAGCCAAACCATTTTATGGTCCCCTAATTTCTATGAATGAAGCTGGTGCTGAAGAATTAGAACTGGCCAGAACAACACTTTGAGCAGGAAGAAAGTGCTCATTGTGATAATTTATTTTTTCTTGAAAGTTGGATAGAGAAAAATATATGTGTGTGTGTGTGTGTGTGTGTGTGTGTGTAATAGTCATAAAAGTATTTCTCAGAACTTGAGGTTTTAATAAAATGTGAAAAACATTTTTACCAGCACCCTCTTTTCCCTCCTGGTTTTTAGGTACTGCATAATTTAAAGAAATGCAATCCATATGTTTGATTATTCATACTTCCATCATCAAAAAATATTGTTGATCCTTTGAGGAGCTTTTGATGTTCTAGAAACCATTTTTTTTTTTTTTTAGGGCAAGGGAGAAGAGAGACTTTTTTTTTTTTTTTTAAAGCATCCTTCCTTTTCCTACTATTTTGTTTCCCTTGAAAAAACATTTTTTGGCATTTGAGTGGGAGATGAACAAGTAGTCACTAGAATAGTCCATTTTTTTCCCCTTTAGGTTTTTAATATAGTGATATGTACAGAAATGCAGTTCTCAACTTTAGGGTTCTCTGATATGGTGGGGAGGGGAGTTAATATTTATGGAATTCTTACCTTGCAGTCACTTTATCTACATCTTCTTAGGTGGTGTTTCTAATACACAGGAAAGAGGTGTCATTGGCTCCATTGTATAGAAGAGGAGAGTGAGGCTCAAAGTCTGGAGAGTTGTACTGCTGGGACACAAACCCAACTTTGCCTGGCCCTGAAGCTGTGGTGTTCATACGTTTCAGCTCCTTCAAGAGAATACAAGGGTGTTTACCATCCTGTGAAGACATTACCTAATTGTATTCAATCACGACCCCTACATCCCTAGCCAGCACCTATGCCACTCCCTTGTAGGAGCTCTTGCTCACCTTTACAGGAAGTGGGAGCTAAGGGTTAGTTCATGCAGCTTAAATGCCACCTCCTCGAGGAGGCTTTCTCAGCCTTCTGCCTAAAAAAGCCCTTCACCTATGCTCCATCACTTAAATCTACTGTAAATGGCAATGTAGCACTTTTCACAAGATGATATTTTTCTCGTTTATCTATTTTTTTCTGTTTATTATCTATCTCCACTCCTTTCTTCTTCCCCCTAGAAGTAGCAGAAATCCCTGACATATAGAAGCCACTTAAGAAATATTTGTTGAAGAAAAGCCTGTCTTATCCATCACTGTATTCTTAGGCTCTGAAACAGACTAGGTATTTAACAATAATACTATCCAATATTTACTGAGCACTTACCATGTACCAAGCATTCTTTGAAGGATTTTACACGTATTTTCTCATATTAACTGCCTCTGAGGTAGTTACAGTTATTATTCCCATTTTACAAATGGGGAAACTGAGGTACAGAAAGGCCAAGATCCTACAGCAAGCAAGAAGTAGAGCTGAGTTTCAAATTCAGACACTCATGACCCCAGGGCTGGGCTCTGAATTACAATTCTAAGTGTTTGATGAATCAGTGAGGGATTGAGAGAACTATAGCTAAGTAGAATATGGAGTTTTGAAGGCATGGAAGAAGCAAGGTGCTAAGTATAGAGGAGATAATTCATCGCAGCTGAAAGAATTTAACTTTTTGGAGAAGTTGACAGTCTTAGGATGGGTAGGATATCAACATGTGCATTTCGGAATTCAGAGTTAGAACAGTGGCTAGGATAGAGAAAGGACAGGTTATGCACAGAAAAGGGAGGGAGGGAGGAAGGAGTGGGAAATGAGGCTGGAAAGGGAGGAGGAGGGCAGAAAGTGGAGGACTTTGAATGTCAGGCCAACAGATGTGGCCTTGATGGTGTGCAGGTAGTGTGCCATGAGGGGTTTCCACACAGAGAAATGCCATGATCAGAACCTCTTGCTTTAGGTGGTTTTGAGCCCTGCATTTATGCTGCATCTACTGTAGTTTGGATGGTGTCTCAATCTTCTCATTTCATCTGCACAGTAATCCCACAAGGTCCAGATTACTATTCCCGTTTTACAGATGACACTGTGGATGTTCAGAGAGTTGAATTTTCCCAAGTATCAGCTATTAACTATTAGAAGTAGGACTTTAATTCCCCTATGCCCGTGCCATTTCCACCACCAGGTAAACACTTCCACAACCCCAGGGAGAAAGGAATGATGCCACTGTACCCATCTCACCTTCCCGAGGGAAAGGAAGATAATTCCCTGGTCGCTTCTCCTTCTCAACCTAGAAGGCTGTTTCCAGGGGAGAGAGTTTCTGATGTGGTGGGAGGAGCCAGAGGATGGGGTAGTTAGGAGTGGGCTGGGGCGTTGGTGGAGAGAGAGCCTTGTAGAGGAGGGGAGGGCTGGAAGAGAGACAGCAAATTGTTTCGGGATGGAATTTTCCAGACAGGGCCTCAGTCAGAGAACAAATGTGCCTTCTGAATTTTCGCTATAATTGTTATTGACCTTTAGTGAAATGATCAAAATTACTGTGCTGTACCCCTCCACCCCTACCCCTTTTTCACAAAATTGTTTTCCCTGACTTTTCAAAAATGAAGTTTGGCAAGCCTAAGCCCTGACAGCCAGCCGACTGTGGGAAAACAATGCACCTCCTTATGGCCCCAAATGGAGCATTTGCAATTAATCCATTGATCTCAGTAGAAAACCCTATTGTATCAGGGCCCGCCAGGAGAAAGCTGTATCCTGCCCCTCTCCCGCCCTGCACAGAACGTTCATTGAAGTCAGCCCCCAAATTGATGGCAGGATGTGGCCCTAAAAGCCTCCAAATTAAAGGGGCCCAGAAAATAATGTAGGCTGGGTGGCGGAAGCTGGGATGGGGATTGGGGAGGTAGGAGAGAATGGGGGAGGGGAAAGGGTTTCCTTTTGAATCTGTGCAGGAGCAGAGGAGCAGGCATGTCTTTGTCCACGGGGTTGCAAACTATGAGGTGTTTCTGGTCATCCTTACTCTGCTTTCCTTAGTTTGTTCTGAGGTTTCAGACCCTTAGCTATCTAGTTTGCTGATTGGGCCTCTGTTGCTCCTACCACTGATAAAATGGACAATAATGATACTGGGATCTATAGAGCATTGTTTGGATACCACTCCCTCTGTATCACCTAATTTACTTCTCCAACAGCTTTGTGGTAAAAGTCATGGAGATTATGAGGGCTATCTCCTGTTGAGTGGGTCCTGCCTGCCAGGTCCTGCTTTACATATTCTTTTTCATTTAACTCTTCAAATCCTGGAAGTAAACCGAGCTGGGTTATGGTATAGTTTGGCCAGTTGAACAGGAACTCAATCTACCAGGGTTCAAATGGGATTAAGTATCACTGGAAATAGGAGACATATTTTAAGAGCTCTGAGACAGAACAATGTACGTGGCTGGAAGAAGGTTAGATAAACTGTCTGAGGGGAGGAATAAGCCTGCAAGTGGCTAAACTATCTTCCATGGAGGGTGGATTGAGATGATCACAGGACTCGTTTTTGCTGAGCCACATGGAGCGCTTAGGTGGGATGCTGCCATCCTGGGGCATCAGGCGTGCTTGTGAGGTTGTGCCCTGCATAACTCCAGCTCCTGGACCTGCCATGCATGCTCTCTTAGCTCTTCCCTCATCCAATACATTCTCTTCTAAAGAATGTTAAATAAATATTCGAAGAGTCATAAGCCCTTCAGGAAGACCTATGGTGTCAGCCCTGGTGGTGGGTATTCTCATTTTATAGGTGAGAAAACTGAGGTTCCATGAGGTAGAATGACATGCTTGAGGGTACACAACTATTAAATATTTGATTCCAGGTCAACAAAAATATAAGCTCTAGGAAAACTGGGGTCGTTTTAGTCTCACTCAGAGATATATACACCACCTCTATCTAGCTTGGCATCTGGCATGTAGTTTGTACTAAAAAAAATTTGTTACATAAACAAATAAACTGCTTTTTGCTCTTTTTTAGGCTATGTGGGGCTCTGGCTCCTTTCTGTCTGCCTGGCTGCTATACTGCTATTTGTCTGATCCTTATGTTGTTCAACAATCCTTCTACAAGGATCTTCTGATAAGATAGGCTCAACCAACCTCGTTAGCCAGACTGGTCTGCCCAGCTCCTGTCTTCACAGTGGCTCCTCACTTCCCCATTCCTCTCTGCCCCTGCCTTCTATGTGGTAATTCCCTTTTTAAAACAATAATTAAAAATGAAAAAGAGAGTGGTGAACACGCTGAATTGTTGAAGCTTTTGTAGTCTGAGCTGTGAAACCTCATCTCTGAGTGCAGCTGTGCATCCCAAGGGCTCAACTTGAGGAGGCTTCAGATCAGTAAGCAGATGCTTCAAAGTGCTCACACTGAAGCTTCCTTCTCTTTGAAAAGGCTGCAGGAGTAGGTATGGGGTGGCCACACCCATCAACCAGCACCAGACTGAGCCCCAAAGAGACCAGCTTGGGTACCAAACCACAGGACAGAGTATCTTTTGAGTCCTCATAACAGCTCTGAGGGGTAGATGTTATTGTCCCCACTGCATTGCTGAAGAAACTGAGGCTCAGATGTGTTGAGTCATTTGCTAATACATGCAGGAGCCAGGATTCAAAAGCAAGGCTTTCTGTCCAATTCCACTTTCTTCTCATTCCCTCATTTTCTGAGCGCAGCTGAGGCTCTGGGGTGAGTGAAGATCAAATCCGAGTTTCCGTCCTATTTTCCCCTCAGGATCGCTCTCACAGAGTCATTCTGAAGATGGAAGCAGAATCAGAACAGAGCTTGTGTGTTTTGTTATGTCTCACCTCTTTTTCCCAAGATTTCAAAGGCATGGGCCCATTTATCTAGACACTCAAGTTCTCAACAGGGGCGTTAGCAGCTGGGGAGTGGAATGTTGTTTGGAAAGGATGAAACAACACTGGCAGTGTTTATATTCAATTCCGGAGACCTGGTTAGAAAAATATTTTTAAAAAACGGAAGGAAGAGTAACCATGCACTTACAAAATGTGGCCTCCTTATCGTGAGGGACTTTTGCCCTTGGATTCTATTCCCAGGAGTAGACATGTCCAGCCTCAGACTGCCGTTAGGAGATGAAAGGGAATCTTTCAACATTTCCTCCTATTGTTTGTGCTTTCTCTCTGCTTTGTCACCATCATATTCATTATTGGAATTTTGTTAATGTGCCATTTCTCCCCTGGAAACAAAAGAGAAGAGCTGTCAAAGCAAAGCAGGAAAGACGTGTGGCTTACTCCTAAGTGAGTAATTATCATGTGTCTTGGAATGGTTGGCTGCTTCCAGTTGAAGATGTTTGAGCTAAAAAGGAAGACACATAAGCATCCAGTGAAGTGAAAGATGGGGGAATCCACCTGGCTGCGGGAGGTGGCTTAGAGCCCACAGTAAGGCATGGGGAGGGCTGAATATGACTTGGGAACTAGAACACCTGAGCTCAAATCCTGATTGCACTCTGTACAAGCTGTATGACCTTGAGCAAGGTACTTACCATCTCTGAACTTCACCAAGTTCATCACATAGACAGGAATTCTGTCTATGTGTTGTGTGTTCTTGTGAAAATGAAATATGAGAGAATATGAAAGTGCCCGGTACGTGGTAGCTTTCAAATATGTCTTTTTCCTTCTTTCTTTCTCCTGTTAACATCCCTTCTACCTGCACAATCTCCAACATGAACCTTTTTTTTTTTTTTTTTTTTTTTTTTGAGATAGAGTCTTGCTCTGTGGCCCAGGCTGGAGTCTGGAGTGCAGTGGTATGATCTTGGCTCACTGCAACCTCCATGATATGGTTTGGCTGTGTCCCCATTCAAATCTTAACTTGAATTGCATCTCCCAGAATTCCCACATGTTGTGGGAAGGACCCAGGGGGAGGTAACTGAATCATGGGAGCTGGTCTTTCCCATGCTATTCTCATGATAGTGAATAAGTCTCATGGATATGATGGGTTTATCAGGGATTTCTGCTTTTGCTTCTTCCTCATTTTCTCTTGCCACTGCCATATAAGAAGTGCCCTTTACCTCCCACCATGATTCTGAGGCCTCCCCAGCCATGTGGAACTGTAAGTCCAATTAAATGTCTTTTTCTTCCCAGTCTCGGGTATGTCTTTATTAGCAGGGTGAAAACAGACTAATACACTCTACCTCCCAGGTTCAAGTGATTCTTCTGCCTCAGCTTCCCGAGTAGCTGGGATTACAGGTGGCTGCCACCACACCCAGCTAATTTTTGTATTTTTAGTGGAGGCCAGGTTTCACCATGTTGACCAGGATGGTCTCAAACTCCTGATCTCAAGTGATCCACCCGCTTTGGCCTCCCAAAGTGCTGGATTATAAGCATGATCCACCGTGCCTGGCCCAACGTGAAGCTTTTGAGATGGCCAAGTGAAAGAAACAGGAACAGTATGAACAAGAAACCTCAAGCACTGGCAACTTAATTTATCTAATGAGGAATTGTATGTATGTTTGTATGTATTTGTGTTTTGGAGCAATAATTCAGAGCAGAGAAGAAAAGAATATTTCATTGAGGTTATCTGTCCATGTGGGTTTTCAACACTGCTGTGACTATTAATTAGAGTGTGTATAATTAAGCCTACCATTTACAAAGCGCCTGTTCTATCCTGGGTATTGTTGGAATATTATCTTGTTTAATCCTTACAACCACCTTATGTAGTAGGAATTGTCATGCAAATTTCCACACAAGGAATTAAGGCTGAGAGAAATGGTCAGTAGTGGAGTTACAATTTTAATTCAGCTTTTTCTGATTCCAAAGCTACTCCTACTACCACTGAATTTCAAAAGCTCTTGTGATCTCTAACACTCATGTTAGTATTTAGTATGTACAATATTGTGTCCACTCATACATTCAGTCAAGGAGCTGTCATGTGCTAGGAACTACTCTAAAATGGGGGGATTCCAACTTGTAGAAGATGGTCTTTACCAATTATCTAAAAATTTTGAACTTCAGGTATTTTTTTTAACCTGTAAGTGGGAAAACTAATATTTACCTGATACTTTGAGAGGATTACATTAATAAATGTATGAAAAGCACTTTAGAGTGTACTTAGTATATGCAAGGTGCTCGCATAAGTCTTAGAACACTCAAACCAGGCAGTTTGAGGTGAAGAGTTATTGAAAGAGTTACAGGCATAGAGAAAGCAATGAAGGATCTTGCTAGATCTGAAGGCTAGCAACAGAAGGGCACTGTTATCTTCCCCGGGCCTGAAAGGGTGAGGGGAAGGCATGGTCATGGAACCAGGAGGAGGTAGCCTCATAGAGAGGGCTGTAGCCTTTCAAGAGCTGTGGTCTTTGGTAGAGAAATGCAGCTAACCCACAGCAACCTGACAGAAAAGGAGCCAGGAGAGGAAATACCCTAACCTCACTCTCCTTTCAGTTCTGATCTCCTGCTGGTGGCACCCATTGGCCAAAACCAACTGGAGACTGGGGACAAGGGAGCCCCTTGATATCATCTACATGGTCAGCCTCCAGGGGCACAGAGCTGGATAGGGTAGTGCAGAGAGTGGATCTAGTTGGGCAGAAAAAGTATCCAGCTGCATATTCCATAAATATTGAATTCAAATCCCCAATCTGAAATTGCTTGTAGTCAAATAAGAAAGATCAGACTCTTACCTAATGTTCACAATACAGGACAGGGTGGGTGAGTCTATCACAGTAGGCTTGAGTTGGACTAGATGCTACCTCATGTTTGTCACAGCCTGCAGTGTGTCCTCAATGTCTCACAAAGCTCAGACTCTTCAAAGCAGGCCTTGAAGACCCTCTACACTGGGGCTCAGCTCACATGTCCTCCTCTCACCTGATGTAGTGGCCAAATTGGATTGCTCACGGTTCATGGTGTTTTCCTAAGCACAGTTACACCTCTGTGCTTTGACGGAAGTGCTTCCTCCAGCACAGCAGGCCCTGCTCTGCTGCCTTCCCCCAGCCCTTTTAAGCTCTCAGGGCACATACCACCTGCTCAATGAATCCTCCTCTGCTCACTCCCACTCAGATTTTTAGCATGATTTTCCTGTGCTTCTGCAGTATAGGGCTTGCTTATCTGGGTAAGGCATACTTCATTCAACAAACATTTCATTCAGCAAACATTTACTGAATGTCTATAGAGTTCCTGGCACTGTGCAAAAAGGGACTACAAAGGGAATGAAGCCTGGTTCTTTCTCTTAAGAAGCTCTTATTCTTCCTGGAATTAGCATTCTCCTTCTACTTAACCATCTCCCCACTAGACTATGGGTGTGCTGAGGACAGGGAATCAGCTTAATTATCTTTGTGCTCTCAGTGCTTAGCAACCATGTGGCACAGAAGTCTTTCAGGAAATGTGAAGCTATAGAAGAAAAAAGAGAGAAAGAGGAAGAAAGGATAGAAGAAGTTAGTTAATTTATTCCACAGCTGTTTGCGAAGTGCCTAAAATATGCCAGGTCCTAATGAGCAATGAATAGTACACAGGCTACCCACATACGGGTGTGTGTGTGTGGGGGGGTGGCGGTGCACATGAAGACTCAGAACTTAGTGGTGAGTGTCTATGAAGCTCTGAGAACAAATCAGAGGATGCCCCTCTTGACTAGCTTTCTGAACTGAAGCTTTCCGAATCCACAGGAAAGAAGAGAGGGACCTAACTGGATGCCCAACTGAGCTACTGAGTGGTGGTTAAAGGGACTCTTCAAATAATTTCAGAAAGCAGGTGATTTTTGCAATTGCAGGCTTATAGGCATATGGTATTTGGATGATATAATTTCTTTAATTGAAAGTGTTATCTTAACCAGGGAGTTTTGCAAAACCCCAAAACAAAGACATCTGTTGCTGTTTTTGTTCTTTTCCCCAGCAAACAATCTGGTGGTGAAAAATAGGAATGACTAAATGGAACACCAGGGAAAATCATGGATTTGAAAAACAAACCCCTACATCTTTAAGAGGGGGGCAACTAATCATGGCACAAAACAGGCACTTCTGAATAGAGTTTTCTGTGAAATCTTGGGTCATTATAACTCTACTTATTTTCATATCAATAATTATTAATACAGAACCAATGAGATGAGCTTATGGCAAGTTTAGTGCACTTCTCTGTTGTCCATGGACCTTAGCTATTAGCTCTGTATGCTGGTGGTTTGGCTAAATCTTTACACCAGATCCTTTAATCCATCTGCCTCCTGGACATCTTCTCTTGATGGCCCAAAGGTACCTCAAACTCAGCTGCTCAAAATTAATCTCATCAGTCTACCGGAACCTGCTTCTTCTGAATTCTCCATTTTGGGGAATGTCCTGCCAAGTCAGAAACCTCTCAGGACCTTCTCTCTCCTGCAAACCTTGCAGAAGCTGAAATCAAAATCTGTTGTCTCTCTGTTGGAAAGATTCTGCACTCTGCTGCCTCTTCTTCACCCCCACTACTTCTGTCTCCCACTCTCTGGTTACTGCAATGATTCTGCCTCTCTCTATGCCTTTATTCAACCTTGACCATGACCTATAGGGAAATGGCAGGAAGCAGAATTCACCTCACATGATTCAAATGAAGAAACATTAATGAAGGAACTGCTTAGAGGGGTGGAGAAGGGTTAATGGAATAAACAAGGGATATTGAGGCACCTAGAGACTAGCAACAGTTGGAAGCTGTTATCTCTACAACCAAAGGGACAAGGGAGAGAAACAGATATTGAAGCCCAGTGAGAACTGGAACTGTGGAGGAAGGGCTGCCCAGTGGGGCATAGCCAGAGAGGCCGTGTGGCAATAGGGAGAGAGCAGGAGAGAAATCACACAATGCACTGTCTACCCACTTTCCCCCTGTTGGTACTTCCCATTGTTTGGACCCGGAGCCTAGTTCAGGGGAGCCCAGAAGAAACAGTCTGCAAGGGCCAGCCTCCTGGGCACAGAGCAGAGCAGAAAAGTGCTGAGAATGCATCTGGGGCATGGAAAAGGAGGAAAGAGAATCACAAGCCTCTCCCCTCTTATCCATTCTACACTCTGATACCCGAGTACTCTTCAAATACCCCGACTATGTCTCTCCTCTGACTGAATCACTTTAGAAACTCCTCATTTCACTCAAGATAGAAAATCACAGCTCCTCAAGCTAGCATTGAATCTCCCCACTGCCACTGACCTCTCTAGTCCCGCCTATCACTACTCCTGGTGCTTACCTGACCCCCCGCCCCCAGTTCTACTTCCAGGCCCCTGAATATACCATGCTGTTCTAAATCTTCATGGCTTAGTGAATGTTCATTTCTTTTCCTGAAATAGCCTCTCCCTCCCCACCCAAACCTTTCCAACACCACCTGCCTGGTGAGCTGCAAGTCTTCCTTTCAAGCCTAGTTCAGATGTCACCTTCTCTGGGAAGTCTCCTCTAACCATTCCACTCCTCGACCTGAATTAATCACCCCTGCCTCTGAACAATCTTCATCATACACATTTACATTTTCACTATTGACACACTTTATGACTTTCTCTTGATCATGTCTGTACCCCCCAGCTAGACTGGTAGGTCCCTGAAGGTGAAGGCTGTGTATTATTCATCTTGGCCTACTAGCTAATTGTCATAGTTCCTGGAACATTAAATCTGTTCAGTAAACATTTAAGGAATAAAGGAAAAAAGAGAGGGAGGGAGAGAGGGAAGAAGGGAGGGAAGGAGAAAGGAAGGAAGAAGTAAGGAAAGGAGATGAGGAAGGAGGGAAGGGAGAAGGAAGGAAAGGAGGGAGAAAGCGAGGTAGGAAGGAAGGAGGGAAGGAGAAAGGAAGGAAGAAGTAAGGAAGGGAGGTGAGGAAGGAGGGAAGGGAGAAGGAAGGAAAGGAGGGAAGAAGTGAGGGAGGAAGGGAGGAGGGAAGGGGGAGGAAGAAGGGAAGGAAGGAAGAGAGAGGGAGGCAGGGAAGGAAGGAAGGAAATTATTCTAATTGTTCAAAGCATTTTCAAATACCTTTCCACCTCTGACCTTCACAAGCAGCCTAAGTGTTGTGGTGGGTATGATTACCTAGGATAGGAACACTGAGTCTCAGAAAGGGATGAATGGAAGCTGGGTCAGAGGGCAGTGGGAAGAGCTTGGGATTGAGAATCAGACTATTTGGTTTGAGCCCTGGGTCTCTAATTTTCTGGGTGTGAATTCTTTGCTGAACTAGGAACTTCTCTGAGCCTTTGCTTCATATCTGTAAAACCTCCCAGAGTTGTGGGTGAGGCAATGTGTGAAGATGATTCACATACTATACAAGGCTAGACAAATAAAAGGGATATAGGGCCACTTTTCAGCACTCACTCTGCCATTTTTAGTAGTTTTGGTTGACTTATTGACATCTGCCTAACTCTACTACCTTATATACCCAAGTCAACAAAAGGCTGAGTAGGCTCTTCCCACAGTGAGAAAGTTGCTTCTTGGATTTTCAGAGTTGTCAAGGTAGGTCCAGAAAATGCCTGGAGACAACCTAGTCCAATCTTTGATCTCCTGCTACTGTCACCCACTACAGGCTTCCCTGACAAGAGGACACAGGCTTCATGCACCAGCAGCAGCTCACTCCAATCCAGCTAGCCCATTCCATCCTTGGAACACTCTGGATGCCAGAAACTTCTTTCTTTGAACAGAAATCTTTCTCTCTATAATTTTTTCATATTGGCTTTGGGACCAGAAAAGGCCATGCTCATTCCCACGTAACAGCTCTTTTAAAATGAAGGCAGCTCTTTTGTCCATCTGAATTGCTTCTCTTCCAGGCCACGCTTCTCTTGTCCCTCAGCTGTTCTTTATTAGAGAGGCTTTGAGGACTTTTATTACTCTGAGAGCCTCATCAGAATGTTTCTCTCTGCTGCTATTTCTCATTGGAGTCTATGACAAACCACTCGACTGCCTCATGACTACATTGACACCATAGCAATCCATCATACATCTCAAACAATAATCACAGGTAACAGAGGTCCATATGTCCAGATAAGAAAATCAAGGCTTTGTGAGATGGGGGTTGCTTGCCCTAATTCATATCGATGGTAAATAGAAGCACAGCGACTAACCCACAGCTGCCTGACTTCTAGAGCCCCCGTGTTTTCTATTGCTAAAGATACCCACGCTTGCTCCATTTAAGCCATGGACAAAGAGAACTGAGGGGTGCACTGATTGCTTTCCTCGATTCAAAGCAGTCTCCTCAATGAAAATATAGGATTAGACAAGTTTCTAATCATTGATGGTGTCTTTCCCATAAGAAGCACTTGAAAAACAATAAATATTCTTAGCATCATGATTATTTAGTGCTTTATGAAACTTGTGAATTGCTTTTCCCAGTCATTCTGAGATTTTCAGATAGTGAGGTTTTGGGAATCATATAGACTGGTGCTCCTCCAAGTGAGGTCTGCATACTGGTGTCAGTTTACAAATCATCATGGGTCCCTGCTGAGATAAGTACAGAAGTTGAGAATGAATGTTGAGACATTTTATAGCAATTTGGCATCACCATGGCATCCAAGCATGTAATTTTGTGTTTTACAAAAAGCATCAGTTGGCCACAGATTGAAAATAAAAACCTGGTCCTTTACCATAGGCATTTTGAGAAGCACTGATGCAGACCATTCTCTAATGATTGACTGGTTCTGTTTCATTTGCATAAGAATTTGGACTTCACTTGGATAATAGGATCTGTTCAGCTAGGTTTGGAAAACAATAGTCACATTGACTGTGTGCTGTATGCTCTACCAGGGGCTGTGAGGGCACTGTAGGGATAAGCAAGGCATTGGATCTTCCCACGGCACTCAGCACAAGAGTGTGCCCAGAGTAGATGCTTAGGAAATGTTAAAATTGAATTGGTTTGACTTGAACTTGCACTTGCAATTCTGAAGGCTATCTAATGTTAGATGTCTACAGGAATCTTTAGGCTTGGTCAAGAATGTCTGAACACATGGCCTATGGTTATGGGTTGTAAGCAATATAAGAGTAAGACCCTGTGCACAACTCCATGTGCTCTAAAAAAAAAAGGAAAGATGGACTGAGATCTTTGGTAATTTGTCTGCATTATTTAGCTGTGTATTTACTTGGCTTTTTTGTTTGTTTGTTTCTTTTTCATCCATGTAGTCTTATTTTGCCAACTGGACTGCTTACTTTTTGAGGAAAGGCTATATCATAGACCACATGTCTTCACATTCAAAAACATACTTTTTCAAATTTAATTTTTCTGAAATCAATAAGGATCTTATAAGTGATATGTTCATATGATGTTATCTCCCCCAAGCCTAAAAATGATCAAATCAGTGGTGCTTTTTACATTTAAAGGCATCTTAGAATTTAACAAATACTGCAAGTCCATGATACTCAAATTGCTTTCAGCACTCTATTGGGCTCATATAGCATGTTCCATAAATACCCTCTGGTTGAATTATCACCTTTAGTTTTTAGAAACATAAGTTGAACTCACTGAGGGGCAGAAGTATTAAGTGGAAATGAAAACCTTTTGTCTACAGTTGAAACAAATGTTTGCTTAGTAATTTATCCCTAACATTAATCCTTCCCAGTTGGTAGCTTTATCCTATCTTACAGATGAGAAAACTTAGGCTCAGAGGTAGAGGCTGTTGTTTGACCAGGGTCAACAACTGGTTAGTTGCTGAACTGAGAGTACATGCTCTTTCTACCACAGCAAACTGGTAATCTGTGTTCATTGCAAAACCCAGTTTAAAAGTTATTCTTACAGAAGGCTTCTTTGATTCTTCTATCCAGATAATGGTGATTTTTGTCTTTTTTATGCCTCCCTCACACTCTACCTGTGTCAAGCTAATGGCCTTAATACTTTATGCCTTAAATTATGGTATTTTAGGCATGTCTTGGTTCCCACCATTAGATCCCAGTTCCTTGGGAGGCAACTAAGGAACCAATTGCTACAAAGAGATGTTGACAACTTGCCCCAGATCTTAAGATATTTCCCTTGTGAAACCTAATTTAGGCTTTGACTATGTGTATATGTGGTCCATTTGTGATGGTAAGGGGGTGGTTCTGGTCCCAACTAAGGTCCTATCAGCCTATATGTTCTGGAGCAATTTACTTTAAAATTCATCCTACCTTAATGTGATTGTTTCCTATGTAAAGAAGTAATGTGGATGTCACACAAGTAATGAGGATTTGGGTTGTAATTATAATGGGATACAAATTTCCTCTGAGTACAATGGAATATTATTGCTAACAGTAATAAAAGCCAACATTTCTATAGCATTGTATAACATGAAAATATTTTCTTGTCTATTATGTTGTTTCATTCTCATAACAACTCTATAAGGTAGGTAACCTCATGCTCATTTGCTATAAAAGGATACTGAGGCTGAGTCACCCGTGGCTCCCACTTATAGCCAGAAAGTGGCAGAGCCAAAACTAGCATGCAATCATCCATCTTCATAACCATGCTGTGTTTAACAATACGATGAATGTTATCATGGCCACTTTGTTATTTTCCTAACACTGCTCTCTCTGATGTAAACTCATTATAGCAATGAACACCTTGGTGGCCAAGTATTTGAAAAAATCTGTTGTGGAGCTAGAGCTTTCCAGCTGACATCTCAGGTGGGTTATTAGGATTAATAGGCAGGCAGCAGACATTATCAGTCATGTTTGCCCTGGAGGTAAACTGAACCACAAAGATGAAGGGAATTAGCCAAGAATGATGAGGCCTATTTCTCTGACTGTTAGGCAGACATCTTATTTCCTCATGGAGCAAGTGAATGTAGCCTTGGATAGGAGGTAAGTCACATGTTCTGATCCTGGTCTTAATACCTGCTAGAGGTACAATCCAGCACAGACCCTGAACATGCTCCATGTGAATGCTATCTCTGAACCATGTATAGGATCCTGGTCACTGACCTTGCTGCTAATGATGAGCCCAAATGAGATGTGTTACATTTGTCCAACACATAGAATATACTTTTGGGGTGTGGACTATCTCTGGGTTCCTGGCTATTCTCAGCTCCTGACTACTTCCTAACCTGGGTTCCCAGGTCTTTATCACTTGCTAGGGAAATTGGTCTCTACAAATGGTTCCCTATGGCACAAAGTTCCCATTAATGGGACTAAATCAACTGGGTGTGGACCTGTTTTGCCAACAAAATTCCCTTGAGAACCCAGGGGAGCTTATGTCTTTTTTTGTGACGGTTCAATTTAGCTGTGTAATGGGAAGCACTCAATTTCACTCTTCAAAGCCTGCTAGGTGTCTGCTTTCTTTGTGAAGGCTCTGTTAGCCCCTTTAGATAGAGTTCAGCATTCGGTGCAGCTACTGTTTTGTGTACTCACCTTCATTGTTTTACTCATCTTATGGGATGGTGGAACTTGGGTATGTGTCAGTCTTTCCCACTAAATTATGAGCTCCTAAGGCCAAGAGCTATGGAGTCCCCAGGGCCTACCAAGGAGGTTGTACAGAGTAGGAGTTAGGATGGATGGAAGGATGGATAAACAAATAATAGAATGATTTAGGATTGGAAGACTTGGGTTTGAGCCCCACCTGGCCAATTCACCAGCTGTGTGACTCAGTCACATCAGAACTTACCTGGGTCAAACTTCCCTTTCAGGTAAAATGAAGAAAATAATGCTTTTCTATCATCGTCAAATGTAGTATGTGTGGAAATGCTGTGAAACAGTAAAGTTACATAACACAAACCACAGTTTTATATTTCCAGGACATATATGAGCAAGCGCTATATATTAATAACTGGCACAGTTTTAGGTGATTCAATGGAGAAGGAGGCAAGTCTCAAAATGGCAGTCCAGGGTGTGTCCATGTCCTACCTCTTGATTTTGATGAAAATGTGAGAGCAAAGGGAATGGTCATCACTGATTATCTTAGAATAAAGTATTTAGTCTGTTTGTCTGTCTCATGCTTGATGCCACTTGACAATGTCCACAGCAGTGTTTCCTCCAGTTCCTGTCTCCTGTGATGGGAAACTCAGGACCAGGCCAGGGCCACCGTGCAGGCACACACCCGCATTTGGTATAATGCCCTGCTGCCGCCATCTTGAAGTGGTTCATCATTTAAACCAGGAGTGCCACAGTTAGATTTTGCACTGGTTCCCGCAAATTATATCCTGGGCCCTGTTTGCATTCTCTGGAGACTGCTCTGCTTTTCTACTCATTGAGCAAACATCTTCATCCCTGTTGGCCATTCCGAAGGATGCTGCTTCTGAGGTTTAAACTGAGAGAAGGATCCCTCTTTCTGCCAATGAGCCTAAGATATTTAAACGCAGCTGTTGCTCTCCTCCCCTCCCCACCCATATCTCCTCTCTTCTCTTTTCTCTATTAATTTGTGATGTCATCATTGTTATACATTATTACATATATAATTACATATATTATTATGTATTATTACATAAATAATTACATATATTATTATGTATTATTACATTCCATTTAAATGTAAAATGGGGCCCATTTTGGGGATGTACTATATTCCACTCACCTGCCTGTGTTTTCTTGTATTTGGCATTATGTGATTTTAATAATTGTAGTCTTTTGATATGTCCAAAATTTGTCAACAGTAGTTCTTCATTATTATTTGTTCGAGTTTGTATTTCTCCTGTCTGTAGTCATCAAGATGATATTAAGAATCACTGGATTCCTGGGATAAACCCTACTTAGTCATGGTGGATTATTCTTTTTAATATACTGTGGAATTCAAATCACTATCATTTTATTTAGCATTTTCACAAACGTATTAATATGTGAAGCTGAACTATGAATACTTTTTTGGTATTATCTGTCAGATTTTAATATAAGGATTTATGATAGCTTTATAAAAAATGAGATAACTTTTCATATTTCTCTGTTGTTGAACACTTTAGGCAGCATAGTAATCTCTTCCCTTAAAGTATTAGAGAATTCACCATATAAGGCCTGGAGGTTGCAAGGCTGAAGGAGAGGGTAATCCTGAAGATAATTTTCTTAAATTGTGCTGTGGTTATTGATATGTGTGTGTGTCTGCGCGTGTATGTGTGTGTGTGTGTGCATATTTCTTGTTGAACCAATTAATTAATTTTTTTCCAGAAATTATCCAAATTAATAAAAAAATTTCAGAAGCATAACCATATAGCTATGTATAACATTCTTTGGACATTTGTATCTTCTATATGTATTATATTTTTCCTGCATTTTTAATTTGTTTCCCTTTTCTTGAATAGATTTGTCACAGGTTTATAAGGATAATTTATTTTTACCCCAGAGAAACAGTCTTTAGATTTATTAATACATGTGAAGTCACTATATACTCTATTCCTGCTTTCAAAATAATTAACTTTAGTCTTTATAGTTTCTTTTCTACTACCCATCACTCTTTCTTTGGTGTGGATGGCTTATTTAAAAATGCTTTTTAGTTAAAATATCATTAATTCCATTTTCTTATTTAAAATGAATAAATTAAGTAAAGCATAAATAAAATCTGAAATCTTCATTTTTTTCCATTTTTCAAAATTGTTTGCAGTGTTTTAATTTTAATGAGTTCATTACTGACATGTCCTCACTTGGGATCACAAATTTTATTATTATAAAGTGATTATTGTTATCTTTTTCCTTTTGAAATCTGCTTTGTCTAATATTTAACTAATCTTGCTTTCTCTTTAAAATTATCTAACTAATAAGGTTGCATCCTCATTATTTTAAACTTTCTGTGACATTTCATGGGCCTGTCTTTTATATAGACAAACTGCTGGTTCTGTTTTAAACCTAGCGCAGGACTTTCTATCCTTTACAAGCTCATTTCTGTTTATCTATCTATGTTTTACAGCTCCCTTGCCATCCTGGTTAATAGTGGATTTATAAGAGGTTCATTTCTTTTAAAACTTTAACTTTTGTGGAACCTCATTTTATTACCTATAACCCCCCATACACTTTTCCCTCCATTTCTAAATGTCTGTTTCCCCAAGGAAACCAGGAAGTTGAGGCAGGAGCAATTCAATGATACGCCTCCATAAGGATAGTACTTTTCAAATTTATTTACGTAGGAAACCTAGGAAAAATAGTATTAACATATTGATGAAATACCAAAAGGAACCTACAAATATAATGTACATTTGGATTAAAAGAGGAATGAAAAGTATGTCTGATTTAATTGTTGCAAGAAATGATCACAGTGATTCATATGTTTAATGCACAACAAACACGGATTAATATCAGAAATACATGGTGCTCTTATAAGAAATATATATATAACATAGACTGACAATCATCCAAAAGGCAATATAAATGAGTTGTTTAGAGCCGCCTATGTATCATTTTATAGCAGAATGTTCCAGGTTTGTAAATCAGGAATCTCTCATAAGACCACCAGGCATTCTAATTTAAGGTGTGCCATTTCTCATCCTTTTTTTTTTTTAAACCACAGCACTATGCATCCTATGCTGTAATAATAAGGAATACACACATGCACGTACTTCTTATGTACAGTTGACCCTTGAACCACATGGAAGTGAGGAACACTGACTCCCCTGCACAGTTGAACATCCATGTATAACTTTTAACTCCCCAAAAATGTAACTGCTGATAGCCTACTAGTGACCAGAAGCCTTACTGATAACATAGTCAACACATATTTTTGTTATACGTATTATATACTATATTCATATAATAAAGTAAAATAAAAGAATTTCCTTAAGAAAATTATAACGAAAATATATTTACTATTAAGTGGAAGTAAATCATCGTAAAGAACTTCATCCTTGTCATCTTCACATTGAGCAGGCTGAGGAGGAAGAGGACGAAGAATGGTTGGTCTTGGTCTTGCTGTCTCAGGAGTGGCAGAGGCAGAAGCAGACCCATGCAGTTCAGATCCGTGTTGTTCAAGGGTTAACTGTATATGCATTAAATTATATTTTAGCAAAGTATCTCAAAATTATTTTTTACTCTTTATTTTTAATTATTCAGGACAAAGGCTACCTCAAGGATTGCTAGCATTTCACAAAATATGATTGGGAAAATTTGCCTTAGGAGCAACTGGGTTATAATAGTTCTGAGAAAGATAAGACCATGATATACTGATAAACATTATGGAAAGATGACATTATTCATCTTTCAGTCATTTTTTTACACAACAAACACTTAGGAGGCATGGATTCTGGATCGGACATTCTGCTCACCTACAGTTGGAGCTGGCAGTGAAGTGACTGAGTCTGGGAGAGGTGACAAACAACAGATCTTTGGGCCTTAGATATACCACGTCACTTAAGGCTCACAGAATTCCTATTTTGGAGATGGAGAAGCTGAGCCACAGTGAGATTGAGAGACTCATCCAGAGTCACACTGCTTCAAAAACTATAAAACATGGGTCAAAGGTTAGCCTTTGTCCTCTCTCTGTCTTCCATCATGGTAGCAGTATGGCCCCATGCCTCTCTTTCTTGGGGAAGCCAAACCCTTCATCTTTACTGCCCCAACTGTTCAAGGATGGTCTGGCCTACATATCTCTCTTAAGCCTCCTTCCTGTTGGCTAGTGCCATGGTGACCACCACCCCAAAAGCCCAGGACCTCTGGGTTTTCACTCTACAGCTATGTGGCTTTGAGAAAGTCACTTACCACCCTGGTTCTGAGTAACTTCATTATAAAATAGGAATGATAATAACCTGGGTTCAAATCTTGATTTGGCCACCTGCCAGCTTTGTCTTCTTAGGCTTCAGTTTCCTTGTCTGTGACATGGAGCTAAACTGTACTGGATGAATGGAATGTGCAAAGGTATATGAAAGTGCCTTGCTAAAATCCTAGTGCGTGGTTGGCACTCATTAACTGTGCTGTATTTCTCCCATGTTTTAGATGACTGGGCCTTCAGAGAACTTGCCGCAATTTTCAGGAAATGTGTGAGCTAAGGGTATCTCTGTTTTCACTTGCTTCTGATTTTGTCCCTTCTCTAATTGCTCCACTCTAGGTGTCTTTGTTTCTTATCTTCATTGTAGGCCTAAGCACTGACCAGGCAAGGCAGAGAGTGAAGCCATAAAGAGAAGTCAGCAAGGCAGTTGGGCCCCCGGGAGGAAGGGGGTGGGCAGGTCTCATTCTATTTGTACAGGTGCATTGTAATGCTGCCTGTGGTGTGAACATTTTCCACTTCATTACTCCTGGCCCTGGCCCAGGCCCTGTCTGCTCCCCTGGCCCCTGCCTTGGTTTAATTTCAGCAGTTCCTGGCCTTTGGAAGGCAGCAGTCACAGAAAGGAAAATAAATGAGGTCGCCATAAACATCTCTGCACATTGCCCAGCCAGGGCAGATGGGTATGATTGTGGAGCAGGAAGGGGGCCATTTGGCTGGGGCTGCTGGTACCCCCATCAAAGTAACTCAGTTCCCAAGGGCTTCTGTCTGCTGAGCCCAACCTTTCTAGTTGGAGTTGGCTTTGGTTTAATGTGTAAGAGTAGGCCAAAACAGATACCCATGGGTCCCAGGGTGGTGCAGTCTATGAGTTGGTTGAACTGAATAAATAATAGCCACCATTTACTGAGCACTTACTATATGCCAGATGCTGTTCTAAGCACTTTAAATGAAGTTTAGATTGTGGTCTATCCTATTATTATTCTTATTTTACAGATGAGGGAACTGAGGCACATAGTCTGGTTCGTAAGCAGCAGAGCAAGATATTGTCCCCAGCAGTCTGACCTCAGCATCTGCATATTGAAGTACTATGCCAGCATTGCCTCTTGACATAACACTTGTATGTGTTCATATTTGGATGATGAGAAACCCTGAAGTATCAATTATACACCTATAGAATTATATAATTTGGACTCGTTGAATCCCAGGATTGGATTGGTCCATAAGTTAATAAAGCCCAATGACCATTACGTGCTGGGATTTCCCCATAGATATTATCCAGCTTTTGCTTATGTAACTCCATTGATGGAAAGCTCACTGCTATATGGGGCATCCCCTTTCATCACATGACAATTTAACCTTAATGGTGGTGCTGGTGACTTAGTGTGCAAAATGGAGTTTTTTCCTAATCATGTTGGTTATCTGTAAAAGAGATCACTCAAGTGACTGGCTAGTAGAGTACCTAGTACATTGTGGACACTCAATAAATGTTCATTCCCTTCCTTGTCTTCCTTTGTGTTTCACAAATTAAAAAGAAAATAAATAGTTTCCTCACTCTACTATTGGGAAGATATGTTTCCAAAATAGTATCAGGCTCATGCCTCATTTGAAAGTAGAGAGGTTCAAAAGGGCAGGATGATCCAATTCTCACTTTCTTTCTTTTTATTCCTTCTTCTCCTTCCTTTCCCAAATGGTTTGTGAAGATGCATTTGCTAGGCATGGGGCTGCAGGACAGGAACAGAACACAGTCCCTCCCTGTGGGGAGTTCATATCTACCAGGGAAGCCTGCCACATAAATAACCTGCAATTAGGTGTATAACAATACTGAGGGAACCCAGTAGGAAGAGTGGCTAACTCATTGTGTTCACTAAGGTAGGTTCTCCATGATCCATTGGGCAATATTTTGACACCTCCTGGTAAACTTATGCTGTGTAATTAAAAGAAATGTTTGCATTTGAAAGCAGTTTAAAATTATCCCCAGATGTATGCTTTTATGAATAAAAGGCCATGTCATTTTAGTAGAAGACATTCTAGGGATTGAAATTGATCCCATTCCTCTTATCTACTCCCGAGGATTGACCCTATACCAGGGCCCCCCTGCCTCATTAACTTCTCCTTCTCTGGTAGACCATTCCCATCAATGCAAAAACATGCTATGAAGCCAGCTATGTTTTAAAATGAAATTCTGTGTTGATCCCCATCCCCTCCTTGTTTCTCTGTTCCTCTTTCCAGATAAACTCCCCAAAGAGTTGGACCTGCTTGCACTCTCTGCTTTCTCTCCTCCTATTCTCTTGAACTTACTCGATCAGGCTTTTACCTTCACTTCACCCAAACAGATATTGTCAAGATCACTAAGGATCATTCTTTGCCAAATCCGGAAGTCAGTTCTCACTTGTCACCCTAACCAATGACTGATTTGACCCTTTGGGTCACTCTTTTCTTAAAACTCTTCATTCGACTTCCAGGACGGGAGTCTCTGGGTTTTCTTCCTACCTTAGCAAGCCCCTCCTTCATAGCTTTCTTGCCGGGTCCTCTTCCTCTTACTAACTCCATGCATTGTAGCACTCCAAGGACTGGTCCTCTTCTCTACCTCCATTTAATCCCTTGGGGATTTTGACTGAGGTCTATGACTTTAAATAACATGTAATCTGAAGAATGGCAAAAGAATCTCTTCAACTTGCCTCTTTCCACCTTCCCTGCCCTCTCCATGGGAGCTCCAGTATGCACCTCAAATGTAACATATTTAAGAGAAACATCCTGGCTGGGTGTGGTGTAACCCAGCACTTTGGGAGGCTGGAGCAAGCAGACCACCTGAGGTCACGAGTTTGAGAACAGCCTGGCCAACATGGCGAAACCCCATCTCTACTGAAAAAAAAAAAAAATAGCTGGACGTGGTGACGTGCCTGTAGTCCCAGCTGCTCGGGAGGCTGACGCAAGAGAATCGCTTGAACTTGGGAGGCGGAGGTTGGCAGTGAGCCGAGATCGCACCACTGCACTCCAGCCTAGGCAACAGAGCGAGACTCCATCTCTATTAAAAAGAAGAAAAAGAAGAAAAAAGAAACATCTTGATTATCATTAACCTGCTCCTCTCTGAGATTTTTTCATCTCTGGACATAGCAACTTCATTCTTCCAGTTACTTAGCCCTGGAGTCATCAGGGGCTCTTCCTGCTCACACCCCAACTTCAAACCATCAGCAGATCCTGAAGCCTTTTCCTGAGGAATAGATCCAGAATCTGACACTTCTCATCACTTCAGGCAGCCATGCTCCTTTCTTGCCTCAATGGTTGCAGTAGCCTCTTAACAATTGGTCTCCCTGTTTCCATCCTTGCTGCCCTTCAGACTGTTGTTCATGTGGGAGTCAGCAGGATCTTTTTTAACCTGCTGAATCACACTGTGGCCACTGCTTTGCCCAAAGCCCTCCAACGACTCCCATCTCACCTGGGGTAAAACCCAACATGAATTCCATGCCCTACAAGTTCCCCATGAACTGGACTACTCACTTCTCCTTGGCTTCCTCTCCTGCCAACCTCCCTATTCTGCTGCTGCTACAGCCATGCCTGCCTTCTGGCTGCTCTACAATGTGCCAACGTGTTCCCACCTCAGGGCCTCACGCCTTGCTCTTCCTCCTACCTGGACACTTTTCCACCATGGTATCCACAGGGCCAGCTCCTCACTTCTCCCCAGCCTCCTCAGAAAGTACTTCCCAGGCAATCTATATAAACTATTAATAGTATCAAGCAATGCTATCATCTCTACTCTGCTGACTTTTTTCTCCACTGTGCTTATCACTTCTTAATGTAGTCTGCGTTTATGTGTTTGTTAGCAGTCTGCTTCCTTCCCCTAGAACTTGAACTATTTAATGCAAATTTGTTTTATTCACTGCCTTTGACCCCAGTGTCTAGAACAATGTTGGCACCTAGCAGCTACTCAAGAAATATTTACTGAAAGAATAAGTTGGAAAATGTATGTTCGAATTCCTACTGCGACCTGGACAAATCACTTCACCTTTGTGCCTCAGTGTCTTCACTCTGAAGTGAAAACACCCATTCTTATCCTTCCAAATACAGCAGATGGTTAAGAAAGTCCAGTGAGGTATGGATCATGAAAGCATGTTATAATGAAGATATAATGTACACAATCAGTAAACGATCATGTCCAAAACTGATAAATTTATCTTGGGTACAAGAAGAATGTTATAAAAATGCATGGGCCCTTGATCATCTTTCAGGGCTTTCTTTAGAGTAGCCTGGTTTGAAGAAGAAGGGAAATAAACTTTTATAGTACAACAGATCTCACTGGGTGCCAGGCAGTGGGTACCTGGTATGATCCAACTTAATATTTAATACAGTTCTGCCTGATAGGCTATCTGAGTTCCCTGAGGGGAATAGCCTGGTGTTTTCAGCTTTGTAATCTCAGCATCTAGCTCAGAGTAGACATCAATATGAGTTTATTAAATTGGGCTTAATTGCATTTTTTGCTGAGGAAAAGACTCAGGGACAGTGAGCAACTTCCCTGAGGTTGCACAGGTGGTGTTACTGTTCTGTGCCAGAGCCAGACTCAGCACACCATGCTGCAAAAGCTCTGCAGAAAACAGGCAGGCACTCATTTTGGCTTAAAGTCTCTTAAAGCTTATCATGGGCAATTGGCAACAGTCTTTGCCCATACATCTTCCTCAGAGCAGGCAGTAGGCTGTGTGCAGCTGGCACAATAGCTTCTCTTTAATGCCCTTTGAAAGAATCCTGGAAAAGTCTTCAGTTTTAGGGGAGGGAAGGGTCCAGGAGAAAGCCTCCTCCCAAACAGGCTTGGCTTTGCGGCACCTCCCAAGTTTCGATGTGCAGTTTCAGGGTTTCACTATGGCCACTGTAGTTGCTATGGAAATAGAGCAACAAATATTTGCAGGCCGGTAACACCTTCCCCCAAGAAGCCTAGTCAAGAATGTTTGGGACAAGGCCCCTGCCCACCAGGCTGCTGTTGTTGCAGCTGAATGCTGCCTTTGTGATCAGCCTCCTGGCCTGCCACCAGGCTCCAAAGAAATGACTCGGCCCAGATCTTTCTAAATAGTGTTTGTGTTTTAGTTGTCCACAAAGGGGGTGGGGGCAGCTCGAAACAACTTTAAGGAAATCATCTGGCCTATGGCTGATTGTCAAGACAAAAATAATGCTAAGTCTCACTTTGCAAATACCATTCAGAGAGCCGTGCCAGGTTGCTGCGGGAATGATGCAAGTTGCCACTCACTGAGCACCAGCATGTGTGGGGAGCTCTGTTCTTACAGGGTCCTCACAGCAGCATGGCCAGATAAGTCTGGCTATCTTACAGATGAGAAAATGAATGTTCATGGACGACACATAAGTTACTTCAGTTCATTTAACTAGTAAGTGGTGGTGCAGTGCTGAGGTTGAAATGTCTGATCGTTTTAATTACTATCAGCATTATTGTAAAGCTCCCTAGATTTCAATCAGACAGCGACTGGCAACCTTTCAGAGCCTCTTACCTTGCACACTCTGATAAGAAAAAGAGATACAGTGAAATGGAGAAATTTGGCCCTCACTGAAAGTTAATTTTATTTGTTCATGGGAACTTGATATGCTTGCTTATCATTGCAGACCAGGCATTGTGCGATTTTACTGGAATGGAAAGGCCCATGGCTTCCCATCTGGCTCCAGTTCTGTTTGGGAGAAAGGAGGCAGTGAAGGAAATTTGACTTAACGGCAGGTGTTACTTTGAGGGTTAGAAAGGTACCATTGTCTCCTCTGCAATAAACTGCCAGGTTTTCACCTGCTGTCAAATTGCAAATTCACTTACCATTAAAATGTTGGGTCGTGACTTCATTAATTTAGTAAGTCTTTATTAAATGCCTACTGAGGGTCAAGCACTGGGCTGAGCACTGGGGATAGAGAAATGAATAATATTTGTTTAACAAGTATTTATTGAGTGTCTGCTCTGTGCTAGGTACTATGTAGGCCCTGGGGGTACCTCTTATTCCATCTCCTCAAGGGAATTGCTTGTGGATAAACCAAGTAAACGGACATTTGCCACAGAAAGGATGACTTCTTCACTTGTAAGTATAGGGTGCTAAGGGAGCACCCAGCAAGGACACTTAAATTAGTCTCAACCTGCCCGGTCCAACTTGGCAGCCACCCGCGGCTAGAGAACACATGAAATGTGACTGATCTGTGTTGTCAGGATAAAACACACACTAAATTTCAAAGTCTTAGTGTGAAAAATGGAATGTATTTATCTCATTAGTAATTTAAATTGGTTATAGGTTTAAATGATTTTGGTTATAGGTTGAAATGGCTATAGGTTGAAAAGATTTAGGATATTTTGGGTTAAATAACATATATTATCAAAATTAATTTTTCATGTGTCTCATGATGCTTTGTAAAGCCACTCAGCAACTCTGTGAGGTAGATATTGTTCTCGTTGCCATTTAAGTGATACACAATGGGCTTAGAGTGGTAAATGACTTGCCCAAGTTCACATGACTTAGGAAGGGTAATTCATTTGCCCAGAATCATATAATTGGACCTTCCTTCTGAGAAAGCCCATTGATGATTTGGTTTAGAAATTGGGCCTTTAATGGGAAGTTAGTTGTTTTCTCTCAATGTGTTTTAATGTTCTCTATAGAGGGCCCAGGAGTATGTCAGAAATGTGAAATATATCCAGTAGTACATCAGTTTTAGAGAGCAGGGCAGATAAATTCTGAAAGCAAAGCATTCATGTCTGCGGTAGAGACAGGCTGGCTGTTCCCAAATAACTACTCTCCCCTTCCTCCTTAACAATACAACCCTTGATTTATTTTTTAATTTTTTAAAATTTTATTTTAGAGACAGGATGTCACTCTGTTGCCTAGGCTGGAGTGCAGTGGCATGATCATGGCTCACTGCAGCCTCAAACTCCTGGCCTCAAGCAATCCTCCTGCCTTGGTCTCTCCCAAAGTGTTGTGATTACAGGCATGAGCCACTGTACCCATCCAGAACACCTGATTTTTAGCTGGGCATGTGGATGCTGAAAATGAAATCTTGCAATGTCGGGGCTCCATTACAGCCAGGTATTGCCAGGTAACTAAGTGCTGGTTCATGAGATGTAAGCAAAAGTGGGGTTTGCAACTTCTGAGAAGTGTTCTTAAATGCCAAGGCCATACCCTTTGTCCTGCTCTTCATCCTTCTTGCTTAATGGAGCAGCCATCTTGGACCAGTTAGGATGTTGAGGATGGCAGAGCCATATGTTGAGGATGGCACAACAACAAGTTAGAAAGAATCTGGGATTTCAGTCCAGGATTATTTCCATCTTGACTTCTGTTATTATGTGAGAGAATTAAACATCATGGTTATATATCACATATATTATCAAAATTAATTTTTCATATGTCTAATGATGCTATGTAAGCGACTCAGCAACCGTGAGGTTGATATTATTCTTATTGCCATTTAAGTGATGCTATTCTTATTGACATTTAAGTGATTGTGAGTTTTCTTTCATATACAGCTGACCATAATTCTCATAATACCATGTATGAAGATTTTCTCCAACTACAGGCATGCCTAGTTTTATTGAGCTTCATTTTATTGTGCTTTGCAGATTTTTTTTTAAACAAATTGAAGGTTTTTGGCAACCCTGCGCCGAGCAGTCTATCAGTGCCATTTGTCCAATAGCATGTGCTCACTTCAGGCACGCCTCTGTGTCACATTTTGGTAATTCTCTCAATATTTCAAATGTTTTCATTATTATTATATCTGTTATGGTGATCTGCTATTAGTGATCTTTGATGTTACTATTGTCATTGTTTTAAGGTGTCACAAGCTGCTCCCATATAAGGTGGTGAACATAATTCACCAACCGGCTATTCCCCATCTTCCTCCCTCTCCTCGGGTCTCCCTATTGCCTAAGACACAACAATGTTGAAATTAAGCCAATTAATAACCCTACAATGGCCTCTAAATGTTCAAGTGAAAGGAAGAGTCACATCTCTCATTTTAAATCAAAAGCTAGAAATAATAAAGCTTAATGAGGAAGGCATCTTGAAAGCTGAGATAGGCTGAAATCTAGGTCTCTTGCACCAAACAGTTTGCCAAGTTGTGAATGTGGAAGAAAAGTTCCTGAGGAAAATTAAAAGCACTATTCCAGTCAACATACAAGTCATAAGAAAGTTAAACAGCCTTATTGCTGAGATGGAGAAAGTTTTAGTGGTCTAGATAGAAGGTCAAACCAGCCACAACATTCCCTTAAGTTAAAGCCTCATCCAGAGCAAGGCCCTAACTCTCTTTCATTCTATGGAGGCTGAGAGTGAGGAAGCTGCAGAAGAAAAGTTTGAAGCTAGCAGACATTGGTTCATGAGGTTTAAGGAAAGAAGTCTCAATCTCATAAAGTGGAAGATGAAGTAGCAAGTGCTGATGTAGAAGCTGCAGCAAGTTATCCAGAAGATTTAGCTAAGATCATTGATGAAAGTGGCTACACTAAACAACAGACTTTTCAATGTAAATGAAACAGCCTTCTATTGGAAGAAGATGCCATCTATGTTTCATAGCAAAAGAGGAGAAGTCAATGCCTGGCTTCAAAGCTTCAAAGGGCAGATTGACTTTTATTAAGGGCTAATGCAGCTGGTGACTTTAAGTTGAAGCCAATGCTCATTTACCAATTCCAAAACCCTAGGGCCCTTAAGAATTAGGCTAAATCTACTCTGCCTGTGCTCTACAAATGAAACATCAAAGCTAGATGACAGCGCATTTGTTTACAGCATGGTTTACTAAATATTTTAAGCCCACCATTGAGACCTACTGCTCAGGAAAAGATTCCTTTCAAGTTGTTACTGCTCACTGGCAATTCGCCTGGTCACCCAAGATCTCTAATGGAGATGTACAAGAAGATAAATGTTTTCATACCTGTTAACACAACATCCATTCTGCAGGCCATGGATCAAGAAGTAATTTCAACTTTCAAGTCTTATTATTTAAGAAATACATTTCATAAGGCTATAGCTTTCATAGATAGTGATTCCTCTGATGGATCTGGGCAAAGTACATTTAAAACACTCTGGAAAGGATTCACCATTCTTGGTGCCATTAAGAACACTTGTGATTCATGGGAGGTCAAAATATCAGCATTAATATGAGTTTGGCAGAAGTAGAATCTAACTCTGATGGATTACTTTGAGAGGTTCAAGACTTCAGTGGAGGAAATCACTGCAATGTGGCAAAAATAGCAAGAGAGCTAGAATTAGAAGTGGAGGCTGAAGATGGGACTGAATTGCTGCAATCTCATAATGAAACTTGAATGAATGAGGAGTTGCTTTTTATGGATGAGCAAAGAAAGTAGTTTCTTGAGAAGGAAACTACTCCTGGTAAAGATGCTGTTACCATTGTTGAAATGACAACAAAGGATTAGAATATTACCTAAACTTAGTTGATAAAGCAATGGAAGGACCTGAGAGGATTAGCTCCAATTTTGAAAAAATTCTACTGTGGATAAAATGCTATGAAATAGCATCGCATGCTACAGAGAAATCTGTCATCAGAGATGGAATGAAAGGAAACATCAGTCGATGCAGTAAACTTTACTGTTGCCTTATTTTAAGAAATTGCTGCAGCCACACCAATCTTCAACCACCACCACTAAGATGAGTCAGTAGCCATCAACATCAAGGCAAGATTCTCCACCAGCAAGATTACAACACACTGAAGGCTCAAATGATGGTTACCATTTTTTTTTGTTTTAGCAATAAAGTAGTTTTTAATTAAGGTATATACAGTGTTTTTAAAGACATAATGCTATTGAACACTTAAAAGACTATAGTATAGTATAAACATAACTTTTATATGCACTGAGAAGATAAAAATTTGTGTGACTTACTGTCTTGTGATATTCGCTTTATGGCTGTGGTCTGCAACTGAACCCACGATATGTCCGAGGTATGCCTGTATGTCAGAAATGAGATGGTTATAATATAAAGATTCCTGGAGCCAGAAAAGCCCAAGGCTAAATTCTTTTTGGAATGTTTGATCTTCAAAAATTTTCATGAATCCATATTTTAAATAAGCAAATTTTATTTTTGAGAAAGACATACATGCAAATAACTAAAAATACCTATTTAAACTCAAACTGTTAGATGATTAAAAAAATAAGTCTCCCTCAACCCTCCAGTCTCTATTCCTCTAAGGCCCTCCTTTGTCACCTCCCCGAAGCAGTTTCTTCTGTGTCCCTAAAGCAGTCTCAGCATAAACAAGCATATATATGTTTTAATATGTTTCTATTTTCCCTAATGAGAGCACATGATGCCAACAGGCACTCCATTTTTTGTGTTTTTCACTTAATGTTATATTTTTGAGATGATTCCATGTAGGTCTACCCCACTTTTTTTCTCATAGATTTTGTCAAGTTATTTAGCCTCTCTGTGCCTCTGTTTCTTCTGTAAAATGAGACTAACAACACTTAAAAGCTATGTATGTATGTTTATGGTAACTAGCATGGACTAGCACATGGCGGTGCTTCATAACTCTCACTCTCTCGCTCTTGCTTTCTGCCTCACAGCCCAGTCTATGTCAGACACTACATACAGAGCTACTCACTTGTCTTCAGGAAGATCACAGTAGAACTGAGTGGATGAGTCCCCTAGGAAAATACAACACCCAACAACATGAGTACCTCAAAGAGGTGCAAAGAACATTGGAAGTACGAACCAAAGTCATGGAGCAACTTGGAGTCAGGCACACTGGCCTTTGAATCTCAAGAGGAATGTAGGTGTGGACAAGTTAGCTCTCCTCTCTGAGTCTCAGTTACCACATCTATAAAATGGGGTAATAAATACTCATTTAGCTATAAGGCTGCTGGAAATATCAACTGAAATGAAGCATATAAAGTACTGATCATAACAATTTGCACAACAGAAATTATCAATAAACATAGCTGGCATTATCCCAGTGTTTGGGCTGAGGAGATCTGGGAGGGCTTCCTGAATAAGGCGGATTTTAAGCTCAGATCCGAAGAATGGATAAGACATGGGAAGGACATTCCAGATGAAAGTGAGTTAGTATATTAGCAAGGGCAAGGAGAAGGGAAAGTAAAGGGCAACTCTGTAGAATGGCAACACACAGACTGATCTAAAATGAAGGATTCAAGGGTGTACAGAGGAAAAAAACAGGAAAAGTAGGCTGAGGCTTCAGCAAGAGGACCTTGAGTGCTGAGCCAGGGGTTTAGATTTTATTTTCCAGGTAGTAGGGAGCCAGTCAAGAATTTCTGAACATAAGTACATGATATTCATAATGTGTGGTTATGGCAAATCACTTAACTTCTTTGAAAAGAAGGTTGATAGAGTGGAGGCTAGGAGTCCAGGCAGAACAAAAGATGATTGGAGTCAATGCTGAGGACGTGACATTGGGGATGGAGAAGGGGCACCTCTGAGTCAGAGCCCACCAGTCACAGTGACGGGATAGGTGTTGCTCTTTAGACGCTCTTGTGGGAGATGGGTGTGGATCTGGTGTGACATCCTTGTCCCCGCCCCATCTTCACCCCATGAAGGATTTCCCAGGTGGTGTGCTCAGCTGGACTGAGGGATCCCTGGGCACACCCACCTGGCAGGGCAGCCCTGCTCCCTCCTCAGGTCTGAAGTTCACCTCAGCCCATGACTCAGTGTGAAGGCTGATGGCTGGGTTCAGTGACCCCCAGGGAAAGCTGAGTCATGTCCAGGAAAGCAATGTCATCCCACCCGAACCAGAGTGGCCTGTGTTGTGAAATCTAGCAGAAAGGTCATCACCACAGGTTCCAAGATGCCTGGCTTAGCCACTGATTGCCAGGCCACTCACTGAACTCTGTATTCAGTTTTTCCTCCATCTATAGGATGGTGTATCTCTCTGGGGTCTTGGGGGATAAAATTAGATAATAAGTCATTTTATCTGTTTACTCAACAGATGTTGACTGGGCACCAGTTCTATGCCAGTGTGCTGGGGACAGAGGAATGAATAAGACATAGGCTTAGAAGACATCCCCTTCAAGGGGATGAAGTTCTAATGGGGAAACAGATAAGTAAATAGAAGCACTAGCACAGAACTAAACTTTCCGACATGTAGTTGCACACTCACTAACTCACTTAAGTCATCTCACATGGGGTAGTAACCAATTTCATTCATTTGACACACAAGGAAACTGAGGGCCAAACTGGCAAAGCGATTTGCCCTTCCTGGTGTTCCATAACCCTTCAGACATAATTTCATCACAGCCCTTAGCGCTCTTTCTCTGGGATAGAAGTTCAAATGTTTATTTCCCCCATTAAAGTTTAAATTCCCTGCAGGCAGGTCTAGCTTCTTTTAATCTGTTGACCACCAGCATCTAGCCCAAGCTTGGCACACGGTTATGGAAGGTGTGGTGGGGGGAATGGAGCTAGAAGTTGTGGAGCATCAACCACATGCTGGGCTTCGCTGGGCACTTCACATTTGCTGTTGGTTAATCTACTACAAAAACTTGGTATGGTGGGTATTATTATCTCTGTTTTATAGGAAATATGCCAGAGGCTGAGATGAGTGATGGGATTTGCCCAAGGTCACACTGAGCGTAATCTGAGAAGCTCCCAACTCAGAAATGGCCCAGAAGCTGGTGTGTGTGCTGCGGGTGGGGGATGAAGTGGGTGGGAGCTCAGCCGTCCAAATGCAGAGCCAGAACGAGTCTCCTGTAAAGTGTTCAGCTGGTCCACTGGAGCATCTTTACCCACAGAGCCTGATCCTGTGCTCAGGCTTTTATTAGCATCTGTGTTCTTTCCGCCACAGCGCCCAGCTGCCCCGGCAGCCTCTTGGTGAACACTTGCTGAATAAATGCTTCACCAGGAGAACAAAGACGTGAAGAAACAATCACAATATGTGCCAAGGCACGAGGCTAAGCCATTTATTTATCCTTTTTCTTTTCATTCTCTCAACATCACGATGAAGTTAAGTACCATGAAGACCCCAGTTTTACAGGAAAAAAAAATGGAGGTTTAAAAATGTAGAGACTTCCTACAAAGCTGGAAAGTGGCTTTGAAGCCAGGCTTATGTGGCTCCAAAGCCTGAACTGCAAACCACTACTTGAAAATGAATGCGTGTGTGGATGAATTGCAGCTCCCAAACTCTTCTGAAGCCTCAGTCAAGGCCACAGTGGCATTTGCTCCCTGGGCAGGGTGTTTTCCAGGGACTTATGGATCAGGTCTGACTCTTTCCAAAAGGCCCTCTGACTGCCAGCCCTCCCAGAGGGGTCAGAGAGCATTTCCCAGCTTCCCACTGGGCCTGCCTATCTTTGGGAGCTTTGAAGTCCTACATTTAGAGGACATGGATCAGCCCCAAACCTAAGAGCTCCCCCAAGGTAACTGCCAAGGGAATCCCTCAGGAATCCCGCTTAATGCAACCAAGAGAGGCCTTTAGAAATCAGGCCAAGTAGAGGAAAGAACAATGGACAGGAAATTGGGACATGAGAGAGTCGTGAGTCAGCAGCGTGGTGAGAGCTGCCAAGATTGCTGATGTGAACTCTGGTTGTATCACGAGGAGCATAATGTGTTGAATAACTAAGGTGATATTGCACTTCCTCTGTGGTAGAGCTGGAGCTGGAATGTGGGGTGAAGGTCTGGTTCCACATTTTCACGTAGTCATAGTCAAACCGGAACTTATCCAATAGAGCAGAACCGGAACACTGAAGGGAACGGTACTATCATCTTTGCCAAGGCGGAAGGACTTGTATTTCTTTTCCTGAAGAAGAAAAGAAGCAAACATGTTGGGAGGATAGGCTTTGGGTATTTCAGAGATTTCCCTATGAACAAGGCAGTAGACTTCTTCTGTCTGATCCTAAGGGGAACCTAGGACTCAAGTGAGGAAATAATAGGAAGCAAGATTCAGACGCGAACTGAATCAACAATGCCTTTGTTCTAGTCAAAAAGATAGCCAAAGAAGGAAATATTTTTGAAGAAAGAAGAAAAAAAGCAAAACACTCAATGAACCTCCTCTCTCCCCTCTATGTGACCCTAAGCAAGTAACGTAATCTTCCTGAGGCTCAGTTCCTTATCTGAAAGTGGCAGGTGGTGTTACATGAGACTAACAATGTGCAGACTGAACGCAGTGTGGAGAGACGGCTGTGCACATGGCCCTGCGACTCTGGCTGCTGCAATTTAAACCTTAGCTTAGGGTGACCTTGGAAATTTGTTTTTACTTTGCAGTGCCTCAGCTTCCTCATCTGTAAAATGGGGATAATATATGTAAAGCAATCAAAAGGGTACCTGTCACACAGTGGGCACTCAACTTTCTTGTTAGCCAGCATCATCATCATTGCCACTCTTTATATATGAAAGGGACTGTCACAGTATCTAAAATATAATAGGTGTTCAGAGAATGTTTTCCTTTTCCCATTCTCCTTTAGGGGACTCTTCCAGGGTGTCTCTGGGATACCAAGTTCTTCTCATCTCCAGATGTCTGGAAAATGTCTCTAAATAAAACATCTTTTTGCTTATATTCTAAGGCAGCTATCTGCCTCTATCTAAATACTCTTTTAGTGAAGAAAGGGGCAGAGCAAGGAGAGTCAATCTACTTGTAGAAGTTTCTCATTCTGAACAGTGTACTTTACAGATTCCAAAGTGTTTCTCCCTCCATTACCTCTTTACCCCTTACTAGAGCAAGCCCAGATGTGAGAACTGAGGCTCCGAGAGGTTCAGTGACTTACCTGGAGCCATTAACATCTGAGTGAGTGAGCCAGGAATTGAACCCAAGGCTTTCAGACTCTGGACACCTACCTTTACAGGAGGCATTGGCCAGCCTCTTCCCCTCACACACACATCCTCTCACCCTGGGGTTCTGCTTAGGAAGCATAAGAAAGGCAGTGAGCCAGGCTCCAACCTTGAAGCCAAATCCTTGCAGTAATAGAGAGGACTAAGGGCTAGAGAGAGGAGCCAGGAACCGTGGATCTCTGCCGTGAATCCGAGCCCTTAGAGCTGGAGACCTCACTTGGACCAGTCTTCTGTTTTCAGTAGCTGTAGTGAGTGAGATCAAGAACTAATGTCAAGAGCCCAGAGCCCCTACCAGCATTGCATGATAGGATTTTCTGTGATAATGCTGTATCTGTGTTGTACAATACAGTAGCCACTAGCCACATGTGCTATTGAGCACTTGGAATATGCTCAGTCATAGGACTGAGCCATCAACATCCCTGTTTTATAGCTGAGGAAACTGACGCTCAGTCAGGGAGGTTGTTGAGGTTGCAGTTAGCCAGCCATGTCACTGAGACTTGAAGCTATCCTGTCTGGCCCCCAAGCCATGCCCTTCACCACCACAGAAGCCTCTTGTTCCACTCCCCAAGGAGGGTCTTTGCACCCTTCTGAACCAGACAGGTGATTGGGTCATGTCTGCCTGTGCGAAGGGGTCTCCCTTCCTGCTTGGCTCCACCTGGCTCCAACTCTAGAAAGCACCTGTGTTGTTTTACTGATAACAGTGTTTGCCCTTCCAAAGCCAGAGCCATAAAAGGCAGCTTTCAAAGTCACTGCCGCAGAAATGTCAACATGAGGGGGAGGCCAGTCATGGTTTCTGAGGCCCAATGTCACCTCCAGGCTGCTGCAAAGGCTGCTACAAAGACCTTCGGGTCCTGGAATCTGGACTTGCTTCTACCACAAACTTGCTGCGTTTCCTTGAACATATTTCTTACTTCCTCTGGGCCTTGTTTTTATCATCGGTGTAAGGAGAGGGTTGAATTTAAAGATCTTAAAGGGCTCTTCTATCTCTAAAATGTTTAGTGTCCTCTGCACGGGATCCTGGGGTCAACATCTAAATCTCCTATTTAATGACTGTGAAATACCTTATGTAGCAGCCTTCAAAACAAAATCACCCCCAAACCTTAACCTGGAGTTTTTTTAAAACCTCCAACAATGTCACCATTGAAGCAGTAAAGGTATTCATTAATATCTTGTAAAAAGTGATTTTGTGATTTTCTTAATGTATGAAAAAATGTCCCCCGCCCTTGACACTGGGCCCAGAGCCCCAGAATATAAAACCACAGTCAGACCACTAGGATTCTACAGAGCTCAGGTGTTTGGACAAATTGCCTGCACTTGAGAATACAGGGCAATTTTCTCGACTTTTAAAATGTTTTCTCCCTTCCCCCCACTTTTCTGGGGTTTTCACCCCTGCTTGTAACTCAAACCACAAATAAAGCTCTAAGCCTCTGGCTGTGAGGAACAGCGCAGTGGCTGCCAAGAACAGCATGGTTCACGTGGGCCCTTTTTCTGCCGCTCTGGAAACCAGCTCTCCAGAGGACAGCACAACATTCGTTTTTCTCTTTCTTTACTAATCACAAAAATATTGCTTTTCAGATGGGCTGGGGAAGGGGCAGATTGGTGTTGATTGGTGGTGGACAGGGTCAGATTGGCAGCCTTAGGTGCAGCAGAAGCCAGGTATGGCAGCCACAAAGATTTATATATCCCTCCCAGATGATGGCTCTGATACTCCCATTTGAGGCTTTTACCCTGGAACATGGCACATATTGGTGTTCAATACCTGTTTGTGGTTGAATGAATACACTTTTACAAATATTCTTTCTTAACAGAGGGATAAGCATTCCTGTTTTTCTGCTGAAACTGAGGAAACTGAGGCTCTGAGAGAGTAGCCGACTCAGTCAGGGTCATACACACAGTTACCTGGTAGGGCTGTTGTGTGACCCCAGGCTGGCCCCAGATTGGGCTCTTCCACTCACGCTCTTTCTGCGTCTGCCTCTCAGCCATACAAGCCAAAGAAACACTGTGTTCCCAGCCCACGAATGAAGCTGAGGCATGATGGACAAGGCTTATGGAACTAGACTTTTCTTCTCCAAGTGCTCTCTCCCACAACTTCCAAAATTATCCCCATGGGGATGATGCTTACAACAGAAATGCCAGCTCCACCCTCTTTCCAGCTGCCTGCTGGACATCACTGCCTGGATTTATGCTCAGTTCTAGATACAATGCTTGGCCTAGAGTGGGTGCTCACTGTTGAATAAATAGTCAATGATGTCCTACAGATAATATCTGAATCTAAGTTCACCGTATCCACTGCTGAGTCCCCAGTGCCTAGACAAGGCTTGGGGAACAATTGTTCAATGAATAAATGGAAGAATGCATTTTCCCTCCCTCCAACATAGTTTATTTTTTGGATTGCCTACTTCTGCTGAGATCCTCATCCCTCTACAGTTTCTCAAGCCAAAAGCCCAGGACTTCCCCAGGACACCCCTTCTCTCATGTGACTCTCAGCAAACTGGTCACCACATTCTTTCAATTCACCCTCTGACCTGTCTTTCATGCCAATCTCCTCCTCTCCAAATCTGAACACATGAACTTCTTTACTTTATTGTGCAAGATTGTATTGGTTACAAGGAGCAAAAACCCAACTTGAACTTGCATAAGCCAAAAAGGAGATTTTAAATGAGAAGAATATAGGGAAAATCAAAGAACTGATGGAGAAACCAAACTACCAAGCCCCAGGAATGGCAGAGTTGGCTGGAACGGGGTGCTCTGATTCTGACAGCTCTCTTTCTCTTACACCTCCATCTTCTGAGTTCATTGATGTACTGGCCTCATTCTCTCTCAGCAGTTTCCTCAGTATCACAGGGATGTGGATGCTACACACTCCTATCTATACAGTTTTGGGGTCAGAGTAGAAAAAACCTCTTTCCCATGTGCTGCAATGTCATAATTCCTAGAGAACTCCAATTTACCTAGTGTGGCATATGGGCCTGCCCCTGGACCAGCCACTGGGGTTGGCAGCAAAGAACACCTCTGTGGGAGTTAGAAGAGGGCACTATCTTCTGAGTGTCTGCACCTCCACAGGTGCAAGCTTGCCCTGCAGAGCACAGGCTGGATTCCAGTCCCCACTTATTATCCCTGCCAGACAAGCTTCTACAGGGCATAACCTGCACAACTGTACATGGCGGACCTGGCTGGCAGTGGATGTGGGGCTGGGCACTCCCAGTTCGAATCAGATGTCTACACCTGGCCAATTACTACTGTTAGAAAGGCAGGGTCATGCAAATGATCTCACTTTCCATGTGGACACGTGGTCAGAGTGGAGGGAGGTTTGGAAAAAGAACATTTCTCTAAGAAAGGAAGGTAGCACGTTCATGGACCACAGCAGAATCATATGAGCTGGAATGTGTTTACAACTCCTAAACCTGCTTCTTTTTTTGGTTCTCTTCATTGATACAAAGAACCATCTGCCCAGTTACTCTCTCCAAAAACCCATGAGGTATCCTGAATTCTTTCCTCTCCCTCATAATCATTCTCCTGAATATGTCTCAAATATATTCTAATCATCTCTCCGTTTCTTCTGCCATCTCCTAGGTTAAGCAACTATTAATTCTTGCTTGGCCCATTACAAAAATGGCCTCCTAACAAAAACAACCCCAAATTCATCCCATCCCTATGCACATCCTTTTTTTTTTTTTTTTTTTTTTTTTTTTTTTTTTTTTTTTTTTTTTTGTGAGACGGAGTCTCGCTCTGTCACCCAGGCTGGAGTGCAGTGGCGGGATCTCGGCTCACTGCAAGCTCCGCCTCCCGGGTTCACGCCATTCTCCTGCCTCAGCCTCCCAAGTAGCTGGGACTACAGGCGCCCGCCACTACGCCCGGCTAATTTTTTGTATTTTTAGTAGAGACGGGGTTTCACCGTTTTAGCTGGGATGGTCTCGATCTCCTGACCTCGTGATCCGCCCGCCTCGGCCTCCCAAAGTGCTGGGATTACAGGCGTGAGCCACCGCGCCCGGCCCACACCCCTTTGTTATATGACTTTGCTGTTCTTGCCGTCAAGAAATGCTGTCTATTGCACCACCCTTTGAATCTGTGCTTGGCCAACGGACACTAAGAAAGATGACATAAGCCGAGGCTTGAAAAGAACTTGTGTGCATCAGGGCTTGCTCTTTCTTGCTTTTCTTGGTAACCTGGCAACCATCTACCATGAGAAGAAGCCCAAGGTAATAAGAGACACATGCCCCAGTCATCTCCATTGCCCCATCCAGTACCCACCAAACACGTGAGCAGGTAGCTGACTGTAGAGCTGCCCACTGACTCCTAGACTTGTGAACAATAATAAGACAGTGGTTATTTTAGGCCTCTAGGTTATGGGGTGGCTGATTTTGCAGAAAGAGCTAAATGACTCACCGGTCTTCCTTTCTTCAGCCTTTTCCTTCTCCAGTGCTTCCCAGAAACCGCATGATCTTCCTAAAATGCAGGTCAGGTTATATTACTTCCTTTTTTCCCCACCTCTGATAGGTCAGTATCAACTAAACAGTGAGCAAATTCTGTATTTACTGTATTAATTCAAACTCTCCAGGATCTGGAGCCCAATTCTCCTTTGACTTGCCCCTGTCTTCACCCTATACCCTCTGTTCCCCAGACACACAAATTGATTTGATGTTTCCCTAACCTGGAGTCTACTGCCATGCCTGGATGAGGTGGTATATGCTGCGACCTGTTCCTAGAGCACCATTCTCTCTTTAATTTACAAGGCCCAGCTCAAATGTCCTATCCCCAGTGCACTTACTTTGTACCTTTCATTTTAGTTTCATTGATTTCTTATGTCTTCTGAGTCGGCAACTTCTTGAAGGCAGGAAGTTTATAAAGTTATTCTTTGTAGCTTTTCCTCAGAGTACCCAGTATCATGTCTAAAACATGAAGAGTGCTTAACTGGGAAGTTTCTAGCAGCCTCCCAGAGTTGGACAAGTTGGGCATGTTCTATTGAGGCAGGAGACAAAATGGTTAAAAGTGTAGGCTCTGAGATCAACTGTGTGGGTTTGAACCCCAGACACTTTCCTTACCACCAGTGTGATCTAAGAAAATTACCTAATAGTACCTCAGTTTGCTCATTTGTAAATTGGGAACAATAATTGAATCTCCAGTACCAGGTGATTATGAAGAATGGGTGAACTTGTGTAGAGCTTCTGGGAAAGTGCATTCCTTTAGCTGCTGATGTTGGAGATGATGATCTGTCTCTGGACCCAGCCCCCTCCATTCCTTGGGAATGGTCTCTCACCCCCTCAGAACCTGCATGGACAGCAAGTCATCCTTTGCCACAAGGAGTCCTCGTTATGTGTTGGCAAGAGGCAGAACAGTGTGGAAAAAGCATAGACTTTCAGCAGAAGATGTGGGCCCTGCTCTCCCAGCTGAGTGGCCTTTACCAAGCTTCTTCCTGTCTCTGAGATTTGTTTCTTCATTCATAAAATGGGTGTTACTTCGCTGAGTTGTGAAGAAGTCATGAAATGGGGAATGCTGAAGGGTGTGAGCTTTGGAACGCCGTGTTCCTGGCCAAGGCCTCTTCTTGCTGGAAGTTTTCTGTGGCTCCCATCTGTGGACTGAGCTAGGCACATGCAACTTTCTGTGCTTCCTCAAGCCATGCACATATTCACAGATATTTATCAAACCTACACCAGTGCCCCTCTGAGACTTCCCAAGTGAGCAGCTACTATGTGCTAGGAGGAGAGCAGTGAACAATACAAAGCTTTTCTCATTGCTTATATTCTTATGGGAAGACGGAGTACAAGTAATTAAATAATAATGTAATTTAGTTTGGTAAGTACCAGAAGACTGGGTGAGGGGCGGGTTTCCTAAGTGTGGTCCCTCAATCCTTGGCACACTCTGTTGTTATTACCCATTTTTATGTTGAGCTTCCTCCTCTGCCACAGGCTCCTGGAGATGAGGGGCCCCATTTGATTCAGTTCTGTGGCTCAGGTAGCCAGCACAGTACCTGGTTACAGTAGGAGCTCAAAGTTCATTACTCTCCTCGTGATTCAAATGAATGATCACTATCACATCTGTGATTTTCTAATCACAATTTTTCCATCAATAAATGGTCTCTGAAAATGTACTTTGTGTCAGTCCTGGCCTTGTACTACCAACGACTGAAGACTGTGAGGTAGTGCTGTCATCAGAGAGCTCGCTGCCTGGTGGAGGAAGAACACCACCACCTCACTGAGTAAGCTCTGTGGCAGAGGTTTGCACACAGAGCTGGGAGGAATCCAGGGGGCATACTCGTTGTGGTTCCTGAATCTTTCCGAGGTCTTGGAGCTGTCAGGCCTCACAAGGGAACAGGCTTTGGCTTTCCCAGACACTGAGGAAAATAAGGTGTCAGGAGTTTCCCAAATCTAGGCTGTTGATCCAACACCAATGGTCTTGAGATGAGATGTGTTCCCTGTGAGCCTCCATGCTGCACCCCACTCCTTCTCCCGGGCTCAGATCAGCCTTCCTGGGACTCTGTCATTTCTCCACTGAAAACAGGCACACCATGGAGTCCAACTCCCCAGTCATGGTGCCAGGTCCTTCCGACCATGCCCAATCCAAACAACCCAAGCTTCTTCCCACCATTCACCCATAGCCAGTTGGCTCTGCCACCGACCCTGACAGCCCTCAACCTCTCCCAACAGAATGGGGTTCCTGCTAACTGATGGGCCTTCACCACTTGCTTGCTTCCATTGACCCGTTCAAGTTACTTAATGCTTATTATCTGTTGAGTGCTCTATCAGGTACTAGGGATACAGACATGAATGAATGTGATAAAGGTCCCTGCCCTCATGAAGCTTACATTCTAGTGAGGAGAGGCAAGGAGTTAATAAGTAAGAAGTCAGAAACACATGGTGTGTCTGATGGTGCTAAGTGTTAAGAAGACAGAGCAGGGAAGGGGGACAGAGCATGCCCATGGGGTGGAACTGTAATTTTAAATACAGTGCTATGGATGGTCCCCCTGGGAAGATCACATAAGAGAAGAGGCATAGAGGAGGCAGGATAGCTAGTCACAGAGTAGAGTGAGAGTAGAGTCGAGTCACAGAGTAGACTAGAGTTACAGAGGCATAGAGGAGGCAGGATAGCTAGTCACAGCTGGGAGTAGAGTGTCCAAGGCAGAGGGAAGAGCAGATGGCCTTTGAAGATCAAATTTTCTATTTCCCTTCCTCCTTCCTTTCTTTTCTTCCTTTTTGCCTGCATGTATTTATTTCAAAAAATATTTCTAGGAATATGCTAGGTGCCATGCACTGCATTAAGTCTTGCATGTAAAAAGAGGGCCCCCTTCTTTCAAGATGCACACACTCTATTGACAGAGGAGAACAAGATAAACCAACAGTTACAGTGGGGATTTAAGAGCATTATGCCAGAGAAGGTGTCACCATTCATGCTGGGAAGCCCTTGGACAGTCTGATGGTGCCCTTGGGCCTCTTCTCAGAATAACATTTTAAAATGCATAAAATTAAGCACATACAATGGTAAAGAAAGCAATTATTTTTCAAAAGTTAACAAAATACAGAAAAAAATAAATTGGTAATAATGTATGTGGTTTCATATTTGTACACTGAGTAACCAGATCTATAGGTCTATTAACTATTTTATTTTCAAAATATTGATAATCATAGATACAATTTTTAGATAATCTGTAACAACTGTAAAGTGGTATGAACATAACTATGATTTCTATTAGTAATAAATTACAGGAACCATTGATATCACTGTGATTTGAGCCTACATTTGTAATTGAAGGAAATGTTAAATTAATTTTATGTACAAGTTAGTGAACATTTCTTCCCCCATACAGATTCACAAAGCTCCTGAATTCCAGCCCTAAGAACCTTGATACTAGAGATATATGTGCTGTCAGGCTCTGAGAGCACAGAGGAGGGGTCAGAAAAACCTTTCTAGAGGAGGTGATTCCTTAGCTGGGTTCTGAAGAAGGAGTAGGAGTTAGCCAGAAAGATAGGGGTGGAGGGAATTCCAGGTAAAAGGAAGAGCAACAGACAGCATTAAACTGTACGCCTTATTTGGGGGAACTGATAGTTAGTGTGGTAATAACTCAGGGTATGTGTAGGTTTTGTTGGGAAATTAAGCAGGAGAGGAAGACAATGGGATCAGCTTATGGAAGTTCTGAGTCCTAAGCTACAGAATTGGTCCCAGAGTTGATGGGGTGTCCTTGAAGGACTTAAGCAGAAAAGGAACACAGTCAGAAAGATTATTTTGGCAACTATGAGGTGGATGGATTGGAAGGTGGGAGAAACTAGAGGCAAGGAGATGGGTTAGAAAACTGTTCTAATTAGTCTAGGCCAGAAGAGCTATGTGTCCCAGACAATGGCCATAGGGGTAGAGAAGAGGAAATGGATACTAGAGACCCACAAGATGGTAGAATCTGCACGAAAATTGGCAGTTGATGGGGATGGGGCAGTTGGGGAGAAGAAATGATCAAAGCAAAAATGTGACTAATTAACAGAGAAGCTGTGTTCAGGGCAGTAGCGGCCACGAACTGCAAACCTGTCCTGCTCGTTCACACCTTTGTGCCTTTGCGAAGCTCCATCTCTCTTCCTGGGATTCCCTCTCCTCCCCTGTTGCTTGCTCTTTCCTAACTCCCAGGTCACCTCACCAACTTCTATCTTGCTGGGAGGCTTTCTGGAGGTGGCAGGTTATCTCGAAGCTGCAGCCTAAACACAAGCCCTTGTCTGACTCTGTGTAGACACCCGAGATTCCCGCCTTGAGCAGAGGCCCCATGGCCCCCTTTGCATCCTTGATATCAGGCTTGTTCTCCTAGGGAACCAAGGCAGATTCAGCCTGGCAGCTGGCAAGTCATGGAGCACTGCCTGTCCATCTGCGAGCTAACAACAGTCGCGCTGGAAGTCAACAAGGGAAATGGAAAGGGAGAGACCCAGCCTCCACAGGGGCTCACGCCCTGGGACCTGTGCCAGTGTGAACAAGGTTTTCCGGGTGAGGATTTCCCCTCGTAGAATGGGAATAGCAGCTGAAGGCGAGCTAAAGAGAACTGCTTGTGCTTTCCTTGTAACATTGTCTTATTTATTAAAGCTTTGTAACCACCCTTTGGTGGTTGTGTGTGTGTGTTCTCATGCACACACACACACACCTTCTTTCTGATTACATGCAAAGAAAATATGTCCAGAGTGGCTAAAGGACTTATCTAAGGTCACTCAGGCAGCAAGGCACAGGTGAGTATAGAAGTGGCTTGGGAATGAACACATGCCTCTTAGAACCCTTGAGATTTGTAAAGTCAGGGGTGGCTTGGAAGAAAAGATTTGGGATTAAAGAGGCTCGATGGGGCCAGAAGAATTGTCACTGTTTTCCTCTGGGTCTGCCTGCTGCTTTTCTCTCCATTCTCTAGCCCAGCCTCCATATCTTCCTAGAGGCAGTCCTTGCTGCAGAATGCGAGGGGCAATGGCTTCCAGTGGTGGCTGCTGGCATGATTTGGCCCATGCTGGGTCTCCAGCCTCCTCTCCTGACATCCTTCCTTGCCAGTACTCCATACTCAAGCCAGCTATGTTAGCTGGGTGGCCCCGTTACTCATTTGGCCACTTGTGCCATTAAATGTGCTGCTTTTTGGCCGGGTGCAGTGGCTCACACCTATAATCCCAGCACTTTGGGAGGCCAAGGTGGGCGGATCACCTGTGGTCAGGAGTTCAAGACCAACCTGGCTAACGTGGTGAAGCGCTGTTTCTACTAAAAATACAAAAAATAGCTTGACGTGGTGGCAGGCAGCTGTAATCCCAGCTATTCGGGAGGCTGAGGCAGGAGAATCACTTGAACCTGGGAGGTAAAGGTTGAAGTGAGCCAAGATCATGCCACTGCACTCCAGCCTGGGTGATGCAGTGAGACTCCGTCTCAAAAAAGAACAACAACAGCAACAAAAACAAACAAACAAACTAACAAACAAACAAACAAAAAAGCGCTGCTTCTCTTTCCTGGTGGGCAGGGGATAGAGAGAAACAGGAGGAACCTCTTTTCTAAAACACTTTTTCTCACGCCTGTAATCCCAGCACTTTGGGAGCCTGAGGCGGGCGGATCACGAGGTCAGGAGTTCGAGACCAGCCTGGCCAACATAGTGAAACCCCGTCTCTACTAAAAATACAAAAAATTAGCCAGGCGTGGTGGTGGGTGCCTGTAATCCCAGCTACTCGGGAGGCAGAGGCAGAGGAACTGCTTGAACCCAGGAGGTGGAGGTTGCAGTGAGCCGAGATCATGCCATTGCACTCCAGTCTGGGCGACAAGAGTGAAACTTCGTCAAAAAGAAAACAAAAAACAAAAAACAAAAAACCACATTCTCCCAAAGTGGCACCTGCTAGTTGAAGTTAAGGTAATATGTTGTTACAATAGTTGTTGGGGACACAGTGAAATGACTCTAGAAACAGAGCGTGCATGCAAGACCTTGAGACAGTAAAGAAGGTGGCCAGAAGTGACACCTTGTTAATATGCAACCCAACCAACCAAGTGTGCTTGCCTGGCCCAGGCCAGCAGGCTAACTAGCTCTGTGCAAGCCCCTGGCTATGCCCCTTAGGTGCTGGCCCAGTGCCAGATGTTCTGGTGGCCTCATATGCCAGAGGCCACCAGAACATCTTTGTGGAAGGACTGAGAGGGGAGGCGTGAAGCCACAGAGAGGAGCCAATCTCTCTCCCCTTGGCTGGGACTCTCCCCTTAGGAATATAAGCAGACTGTCACTTGGGTCAAAAGCACAGCTGTAGGGAAGAACAGGAGGAGAGAATGGGTATGAGGAAGAGGAGGAGGAGGAGTGGAGGAGGAGGAAGGAAAAAGGGCTGGGAAGGGAAGAGGGAAATTGGAGGGGCAGGTGGAGGAGGCAGTGAGGAGAAGAATACTTGGTGAGAGTTTAGCCACCTCAAATAACAATCTTGCAGTCTCTTGCAGCTGCTAGAGAAGTCCAGTCTGCCCACAGGGCAGAGGAGGAAGGGTACTTCCTCTGAGGAGGCTGGAGGCCTTGTAATCTCTGTACCCACATCCGGAGAAGCTTGGACGGGGTGGGGCTGCCTGGGTCCAGCTTCCCACCCAACCCTGCAAGCTTGGGATCGGACCCTGGGAAGCCTGGCTTACCTGGGCCAGGTCCAGCTGCACTGGGTCTGGATGTCGTATCTCAGGAGCCAGTGGGCTTGGGGTGAAGATGGACAGCCTTTTCTAGAAGATACAGACTGTGACTCAGAGAAAGGCATTCTGATGTCTTCTGCGAGACTCCTGAATCACAGCAGGATGGGCACAGGGCTGGGGGAGAAGAAATAAATACTTAATTATAAAAATTGCATAGTTGGAGAGAGCTTTTGTAGTCTTAGAGGTGAAAGAACTCTGAGCTACAAGAATAAAGAAGAGCATCTTTTGCTGGGTGCTTACTTTGTGCTAGACACTGTAAAGTGCTAAAGATAAGGAAAGTATCCTTCATGGCTGCATGCGTTGCATGCCCACCACGTGCCAGGGGCTTAACACCACCACCCTATTTAATATCCACCACTAGCCCCAGGAAGCAGGCCTAAGTACTCTCATTTCATCACTGAGGAGCCTGAGACGTTCAGTCATTGATTGGACAGCCCTCACCATTCAAGCCCTCCTTGGTTTACAGCAGCAGAAAGAGAGGCTCTGAAGGGTAAGTGACTTGTCACAGTTGAGAGCAACTGGCCTGTGGTAAGAGTTGGAGGCAGAACTGAGCTCCTGGCCCAGGCCTGTGGCCTCTTCATTCCCCCAAGCCACCCTCTCCAGTTGTCAGGCCTTCACTTTCAGGAAGTCCGGGACAATGAGGTTCCACACCTGCTTCACAGGAGAAATATCCTTTTGCAGGATTTTCAGTTGATAGCCAGTTGCCAGGGCCATCTTCTCAACTGATGGCAGCTTCTTATTTTTTCCCCAGTACCTGGTCACACCTGGCCCTCTCCGAGAGGTTTTCAATGCCCTGGGCTACAGTTTTGTTCAGTTGTGCTCTCAGGGTGCTAATGACAGCACACCCACATGCTGATAGAGCCCACATGCTGATAGAGACGATAAGAAAGGAACAGCTGGGAGGGAGGGAGGAAGGGAGGGCCAGCAGGAGCCTGGGCCAGCGGGTGGGGCTGGCGGCCAGTGTTTCCCTGTAGGGCGAGGGCACGCTCAAGGGACTGGCTTCCTTGTAAACAGTGTGCAGCCAGCTCTAAAAATACCCCTGCCCTAGACAGGGCACATTGAGCTCCTCTGGTCTCCCCCAGAGCCTTCCCAGGGGCCTCACCTTTTTCCTAAAAGGTCAAGGGGATGGGAAGAAAGCTGCCTTGTGGAGGGTTGGATTTCCTTAGCAAGGAAAGTATAACCATATTTCCTTCCTCTGCAAAACAGAAAGGAGGATGCTTCATGGGTTTCAGCAGCAACAACAAAAGGCCAAAACAAAACAAAACAAAAAACAAAAAACAAACAACAACAACAACAAAAACTTCCCTGGACCCTTGTCTCTTTTCCGTAATCTGAGACCTGGGCTGAGCTCAGGTCCAAGGACTGGTCCTGATTCACAGCCTAGGATCAGGGAGCCATGGGAAGATGCTGGATTGTAATTTTCAGCTGTTCTCCTCATGAGGCATGTGATCCATGACTCAACTGCTTAATGCCTCAGTTTCCACAATTATAAAAGGGGATAATAATAGTGTTTAATTCACTTGGGTATGGAGAGGCTTAAATGAGATGCTATCTATAAGGCTTTTAGCACAGTGCCTTACACATGACAAACGTTCAAGAAATGCTTATTATTATGGTATATGGGAGGATAAAACTATTTCCTGAATAACAGAAGACTTGGTTTAATAAGAAATGTGGTAGGTAGGGAAAAAGAGAAGTGTGGATAAGAAAAGACTAAAAGTGTCTGAATCACAGAAAGCTCAAATATATTATTTGACAGATGGGGACACTGAGGCCCACGGAGCAGAAAGGAGTTGCTCCAAGCTAGACAATGTATTGGCCACTGCCTGTAGGTTCAATATAAAGTAAGTGTGATGAGAACATGAAAAGTCCTGTGGGACTGTAAGCCTGCTTCACTAGGAGTTAGGGGAATGAGGCCTTTTGTTCATGCAGCACTTTAAAGTTTGGAAAGCCCTTTTCCAGGGAAAGACAGACCTTAGCAGATCACTGCCAGAGGGCTGAGCTCCATGATGAGGGACTCTTGAGGGAGGATGTGTGAGGACACAGCCAAGCAGAACTCATTCTTGGGACTGGTGGCTGCCTGTGAGGCCATATATTCATGCCTTGAACCCAAAGACCTTGGTTAAATGAAGGAGTTAAATCTCTTTACTCCAAGATTTTTCAGAACCTTCTAAGACATGAAAATGAAATTGTGGGTCTTCAAGACAGGGATATGCTGTATGCAGCATTCCCCATATTAAGTTGGTTACAGAGCCTTCTTTCCACAGAGTATGAGCAAGAAATAATTTGCTATTATTATTATTTATTAGTATTATTATAATTTTTTTTTTGAGACAGAGTCTCACTTTGTTGCCCAGGCTGGAGTGCAGTGGTGCCATTTCAGCTTACTGCAAACTCCACCTTCCAGGTTCAAGCGGCTCTCGTGTCTCGGCCTCCCAGGTAGCTGGGAATACAGGCCAGCGCCACCACGCCATGCTAATTTTTGTATTTTTAGTAGAGATGGGGTTTCATTCACTATGTTGGCCAGGCTGGTCTCAAACTCCTGACCTCAGATGATCTACCCGCCCCGGCCTCCCAAAGTCATGGGATTATAGATGTGAGCCACTGCACCCGGCCAAATAATTCAGTATTAAGCTAATTCCTTGAGAATTGCTGTCCTTAAGTTCTCAAAAAATAATAATAATAATAATGTGGATTCTGTTGCCAGATAGCACTAAGTTCATAATTTGGCTATTTCCTAGGTGACTTTGTACATGTTACTTCACCTTCATCAACTGTAAAATGAGAGGAAGAATATTCACTTCTCAGGATAGCTTTGAAGGTTACATTTATAAAAGCATATGGAAAATGCAGTGTCGTGGCTAACACACAGTAGGTATTCAGTTAATGGTTCTAATTAAGTAAAGCCCGGAGACGGAAACCAGCTTTTGCAAGCTCACATAGGAAATTAGTGACTGTGCTAGGCCTTGAATCTCCATCTCTGGGCTCTTCCAGTTCACCATACTTCTCTTTATTAAGCAATACCATATAAGAAATGTAGTCCATCAGAGGAGATAGGCAGCCTCCCCAAGTTTGGTGTGATTTTATAGGTCAAGTTGACTTTAAATATGCGACAAATATTTCCTTTTCTCCTTCTCCCCCTTCTCCTCAGTTCTAGCCAGAGGAAGCTGCAGCCAGGCCTGGCAGTCTCCCCTGCTCCCTTCCACCAGCTTGGTTCCTGTTTCTGCTGGTCCTGGGAGCCCCCAGCAGATGGACTGCCCTTATCAGCCGGCTCCAGGCCAGAGGAGGAATCCTCCGGTCACGTGTGGCTCTCTGGAGGGAGAGAGACCTCATAAATACATACAGCCCACGCAGAGGAAGGGGGGAGGGTCAAGGGGAAAGAAACCTTGACATTCTGGCGACTGGGCCAGGATTAAAGTCCACCAGGCATAGTCCTTATTGGCTATTTCTATGAGGAATCTCAAATCCACATGGCTTCCCTGGATGACAACGCTGACTTTGACTAGCCCTGGGATCTGGGGCATTCCCAGTGTGCTGCTGGCTTGATCCAGGCCTAATCCTTTGCCCAGGACTGACCTTTCACAGTTTACAGAGCACTTTATCTCCTGGCTCAGTGAAGTCTCACAGAACCCTCCAGAGAGAAGGGAGTTTATCATCACCCTCAATTTACAGATGAGGAAGCTGAGGCTGCGATTGTAACTGACTGACTGCTGGCTACGCAGCTACAAGTGACCGAGTCCAGCCTGAAAGCCACATATATTCTCCCACAAAATCCAGAGCTGCCAAACACATCCTCCTCCATGAGTCTTGCTTTGTGCCCATCACTGAGCTCCATGCCCCGGGCGAGCCATCGTTCCTGCCTGGCGAAGTCCACAATCCAATAAGGAGGGAAGGTTGAAGGGATGAATCTCAACAGAATTGTGCACAGTGAAAGAAGCCAATGAAAGAAGAGTACATATTGTATAATTCCATTTATAGAAAACTCTAGAAAATGCAAGCTGATCTACAGTGACAGAAAGCAGATCCATGGTTGTTTGGGGAAGTGAGGCAGAAGGAAAGGATTCAGAGAAGCACAAGGAACCTTTTAGGGTGGTAGACATGCTTACTATCTGGTACTGAGAGTTTCTCATGTCTGCACGTATCTAATTGTACACTTTAAATACACACAGTTTATTGTATGTCAATTATATCTCCATAAAGCTATTTAAAAAGAGGAACGTAAGTGGGGAAAAGAATGAAGGAAGTTGGCTGGCGTATAATTAAGTAAGTCTGTGAGCAGTCTTAAAGTGGGGACACAAAGTACCATGGGCACGTAAGAGAAGAAGGTAGAGATTCATTCCCAAACGGAAGAGATCAGGAAGGAGTTCTTAGAACAGGGTTTCAACAAAGCTCAAGGTATGGATAAGTAAGGGTCAGGTTAAGAAAGATTCAGATGGAAGATACAGATAGAGTTTATTTGGGAAATAGAGAGTGGAGTATTATACACACGCACAATTCGCCTTTTTACCCAAGTTTTGAAGGACTGAAGTTAAAACTAACAGCAACTATCCTCTCTTTTCTTCAGAAATTCAGACACATGCCCTACTTGGCAGGCAGCTAGTTTTGCTAATAAGATTCCTGCCCTTCTCCCTCCCTCTCTGTGCATCTCATCCCTTCGGTCCCGCTGAGGCCCCTACCCTCTCGGATTTCCTCTTTGAACTGAACTGCCAAATACTTGCCAGCTTCCAGGGCCCTGAGTACCCACATTTCAGCCTCTTCCAAACCCCAGAGTAAGAAGGAGATTTGGGGAGTTCTGGGTGGGCATGTGATGGGAGACTAGGTCCAACATAAAAAGATATTTCCCTTTTTCTTCCATACTTTTTGGCTTAGTAATTGACATGTGACCATTGGAGAATTTTGAATAGTTTATTAGAATACATTGTGATAGAGAAGAAGGAAATTCAAGAATTGTTACAATGTTGTACACTGATTAACTGGCTAATTTGCTGCAAAACCAATTCTGATCACTGCTCTTATGGTTTGTAATACATTATTTTGGGTTTGGATGATCCTGTTATTCATAGCTTTACATAAAGAAATATTCCAATGACATATGAAACCCATATATGAAATTGTGGGTTAGCTCTTGCTTTCAATTTTGTATTATGTTTGTTGATTTTAAACTGTCTCCTTTCAAAAGTTTCCTTATTAATTAAATAAACCACTCAGCCACATTCCCCTCATCTAACTCAGTACCCAAGTGTAAGCTCAATTCTGGAGTCGCCTTTCCAACCTTGGCTTAAGGGACATTAGTCACTAGGAACAAAACATGGCATTTGAACAGCTGTTTTGGGTATTCAGAGTCCAAACCCTACAGGTCTGGAGAAGGTGGGGGTTGGGGGAAGGAAACCAATATTTACTTACTGAATACCTACTCTGAGCCAGGCACTGGGGACTTCACAGAGAGTATGTCTTTTAATTTTCTGAACAGCTCATTAATGTGTTCTGCCTCCTCTAGGCATAGCAAGGTTAAGAATTTATCAAAGATCACACAGCTCATAAGTGGTGGAGCTGGGACTTGAACCCATGCAATCTGACTCTAGAGCTTATATTCTTGAATACTTCCCTATGTGTACTTTGTTGAACCCTCCCATGCCAAGATGTAGGAGCCATTATTATCAAATCTGTTTTCCAGATGGGAAACCAGAGGCTCAGAAGAGTAATTTTCCCAACGTAAATTAAACAGAGACCCTGGATTTAAACTCTGTGATCCTGGGCAAGTCACTTCACTCATCTATCCATCATCCATCTGTCCACTCATTAATTCAACAGATAGTGTCAACTGTTTACTCCAGGGACTGTCTTGTCCCTAGAGATGAAAAGATATATAAAATCTGGCCCTTGCTTTTTAAGAACTCATAATCCAGTGAAGAGGGCAAACACCTACACAACAGTAAGACAAATGACTGCAATATGACGGGTGCTTAAGAGGTGTCTAAAAAGAGCCACAAGAACATAGAGGAAAAGCATCAAATTACTTGATGAAGTAAAGCAAGGAGGCCTCTGGAAAGGAAGGGACATTGGGCTGATATGCTCTCCAGGCAGAGAAAGGGGGAAAGGGGTTACTCCAGGGAGAGAGAGCATCAAAGGTTAAAAAAAAAAAAGGGGTCACATATTGAGTGCTTACCACCTGTTTTAAGTGCCATCTCTCTGATTCCCATGTCAATTCTGTGAAGTAGGTATTATTCAGACCACTTTATAGAAGAGGAAACATAGGCACATAGAGAACAGGCACCTTGCCTTTGCTCACACAGCTAGTAAGGAATAGAGCTAGAATTCAGCCCTGGGCAGCCTAGCTTCAGAGCCCATCCTCTCAGCTACTCTACTTGGAGTGTTTGGGGGCAGCTGCTAGTAGTTCCTCACAGGTGAGGCAGGCAGTGCAACTGGTCACATAGGCAGGAATCTGGTCTACAGGGTCTTCCTGTATGCCGGCTTTAGGCACTTTCTTCATGAGGCCTTACATGTTCTTCATCTAGGACCTGGACCTTTTGGGATCCATGAAAATAATAATGCTGTGGTATATGCATGTGTGCTTGTGTGTTGAGGGGTACACCCACCTTTCTCAGGGGAATTATACAGTTCCATTTTTTTTTTTTGAGACAGAATCTTACTCTGTCCCCCAGGCTGGAATGCAGTGGCATGATCTTAGCTCACTGAAACCTCTGCTCCCGGGTCCAAAGGATTCTTGTGCCTCAGCCACCTGAATAGCTGAGATTACAGGAGTGCGCCACCACGCTCGGCTAATTTTTGTATTTTTAGTAGAGATGGGGTTTCACCATGTTGGTCAGGCTGGTCTTGAACTCATGGACTCTTCTCTATCACAATATATTCTAAGGCAGGCAGCGATCTGCCTGCCTCGGCCTCCCAAAGTGTTGGGATTACCGATGTGAGCCACCGTGCCAGGCTTCTATTTGCTTTTGCTTTTGATACACCCATATCTGCTCATTGTAGGAATATTGGGTGCCTTCAGCTCAGCTGGATTCTCTTGGCTTCAGTGTCAGTATTTGAATTCTTGTTCATTTTCTGCTTTCCCTCCCCAGACTGGTAAGTCCATGAGGACAGAGTCCTTGTCTATCCGCCAGACCACCAGTGTCCAGCACAGTGCCTGGCACACAGTAGGTATTCAATAATTGTTTAATGAACTCTGGGGCTTTGATTAATAATTTAGTTAGAGAGTAAATTAATTGTGAGTTAAATCTAGTTTGGTCAACAACATACTTTACACTGTGCAGTCAGTGGGGCAGGAGGGAATCACAGAAGGGTCTTTGAAGATGAAAAGTGCAGGGACTATTGGCCTAGATCAGTGGTTTACACATGAAGCTGTACTTTTAGACGAGCTTGCCTTCCGGGATTTCGATCCCTGGTCTGAGGTGCTGTTTGAGCTTCCCAGGTGATTCTGAAGTCACCAGATCGGTATTGAGGGATGCCAAATTTGGGGGACTTCCTGTTCTAACGTATTTCTTTTTGTCCCCCGAACTCATTCAACTTGTGCCTGAACGGTCTCAGCAATGGGAGCTCATTATTTCACAAGGCGAGCTGCCCAACCCAGCGTAACCACAACGACAACAATCACAGTGACACCATGTAGGGACCATACATTGAGCATTTCTTAGGTGTCAGGTACCGTACATACATGCTGCTCACTCCAAAGGCGAGGTGGGTAGTACTTGTCTGCATATGACAGCTAAAGAAACTGCAACTCCGACGTTGGTGGCGCTGGGAGTCTCAGTGGCGGCGGGGCGGGGCAGGGCCGGGACCGAGGCCACGTCCCGCCCGCCGCCCGGCTTCCCGCCCATGGGCCTCGGCAGTGCCCGCGGGAGGAGCGGGTGGAGGGAGCCGCTCGCCACGTCAGCGCACGCCCGCCCCGGCGCTCCGCCCGGCCCTCCTGGGCCTCCCCATAGAAGGTTAACCCGGGCCGGATCCCACGAGGACTGGTGGGGGCCGGGCGGCCCGTGATTTCAGTTTCCGAAGAGTCCGGCCCTGCGCAAAGGCGGGCAGGGAGGAGGAGTTCGGGAAGCCTTCCCGACAGTCTGTAGATGAAATGAACGCGCCCCGCCTGAGCGCCACTCGGGGAGCGCGCCGAGCCAGTGCAGCACCGCGGCCTCCCGGCCCGCCAGGCTGAGGGTTTCCGCGGGCCCTGACCCTGCTGGCCCCCACCGGGCCAGTGAAAGCAGCAGGCTTTATGCGGCTGTCGGGCTCGGGGCGAGGAGCCGGCTCCACCCTCCCAGTCTGGGCCCATCCTCCGGCCTCGGCCAGCCCCTTCCCTCCCTCTCTTTGGCGTTCGCGTTCCCTCGGCCTAGCAGACCTCTTAGAATGTTTGTTTTCCTTCTGAGAAAGAGCGGAGGGACGTGGCCAAGACCAACATGAACTGCAAACACGGGACATCCTCTGTGTGGGGGGACATTTTTCTGGGACCAACAGACCTGGGTCTGAATACCCATCCTGCCGCTTCCTCGCTGGGTGACCTTTGTATATCTTTCTCCATCTCTCTCAGCCTCATTATCCTCATCTGTAAAATGGGGATAATGACGCCTTACCTATCTTTAAGATACATTCTGAGGATTAGATTGGATAAATACGGATCATACATTTTAAGCACTTAGTGCTGTCAATGGCAATTAACATTATTATTCATTATATTGTTATTATGAATGACTGATAATGACACTCAAGATTATTAATGCTACTGTGTCAAAAATATGCTCAATTAAATTTATTTTTAGTGAGTGAAATAGTTTTATGAAAGGTAAATAAAGAGGAATAATACTGGGTCGGGAAGTATATACACGTTATCTCATTTAATATTCAAACAGCTTCAGAAGGTGGGTGTTATCATCCCCATTCTGCAGATGAGAAAGTTGAGGCTCTTGGAGGTTCATTAACTTGCCCACCTCACACACTTCAAGCCTAATGTCCTGCCCTCCCTCTCTCACTGACTTCCTTGACTGCATCCCTTAAGCTCCAGTCCCTTTCTACCTGCCTGCCTCAGCAAAGACTCGTCCATCTGCAGAGAAACCTGGAGGAAAGTGAGTCAGCTCTGGAAACTGGATAAAGCTCACCTCCTCCAGGCAGCTTTCCTGATTCTCTCCCTCCTCCCCCTGTAAAATTAATCCTTCCTTCCTTTCTTCTCTTGGTGCCCATAGTATGAGGTTGCACACACTTATTGCAGGTTGTGTCTCCCACCTGGGGAGTATGCCTGTCTAAGGCAGACGCCACATACTTTTTCACTCTTGAAGGGTCAATATGGTGTTGTGGTTAAGGGCACAGGCTTAGGAGCCCAACTGTCCAGTTTCAGATCTTGGCTTTACTACCTACTGGTTGTGAGCCTTAACCAAGTGACTTAACCCCTTTCAGCCTCACTGTCCTTATCTACAACATGGAGATTGACAATAAGATCAGCCTTGTGGGGTTGCTATAAGGATTGAATGAGTTAAGATATAGAAAGCAATTTGAACCTCTAAGTAATCAGATGTTCACTGAATGAAGACGGAATCGTGAAGGTCTTGAATGTTGCTTACTAAGATAGTGAGATAGAAAGCATGTTGCAGAGTTAAGAGCAGGAGTAGGTATCAGAGACCTAGGTTCTCATCCTGGCTCTGCCTTTAACTTTATGTTTGGATTGGGCCTGTTCCTCCCTCTGTCTGAATCTGTTTCCCCTTCTGCAAAATGATAAGTTTGGCTCCCGCTGCTAGATGACTTCAAAGGGTAATATTCAGTGTATTAATTCTGTGCCTCTAGGACTTTGCTTGTGTAATGTTCCCAGTTAGCGGTCACACTAAAAAATAAATGACTGGTTTGCCCCTGGAAGCATGAAGCTCAACCACTGGCTACCATGAACTCAGAGGTAGAGGATTGTACCAGTTTTGATAATTGCCAGCTTTTTCTGGGCAGGTCTTAGTGCCTGGCATTGGGCCAAGTGCCATCATTGTCTTGTTTAGTATTCTCAAGAACCCTGTAAAGAAGTCACTACTATGATCCCCTTTCTATAGCTGAGGAAACAGAGGCTAGAGGTTAACAAGCTTGTAACTAGTTGGGTGGGATGTAGGATCATCACTTGTCAGGCTTTGGCTCCCAAGGCCTGCAAGAATCCTCTCTAACACATGCCTGTTTCGATACCTCTGGGGACAAAGAACCTATTGTCTTTCAAGCCTGTTCATTATTAAGAATCCTGAACAGCCAAAAAGGGTACAGCTGCCTTTTTACGTGAGTTTCATTCATGACTTTGCACTTGGGCTCCAGGAAGACATGATTTGTATTAAGGGTTAAGAAAAGGGAGAATATGAATTCCACCAAGGGAGGGTCTCAGGAGTAGTTTACAATTGGGTGGCCAGAGGACAGAAGCCTCTGCTCCTACTTTTTTGGGCCTCACCCCCAGCCCCCACTGATGGGGTCCTGCCTGGGGACAGAGCTGTGGGATGCTAAGGAATTTCAGTACAGCCTTGATTGGGAGTGGGCTGAACTCAAAGCATCAGAAATGTGCATCTATAATTCCCAGTCAATTGAGATACATTTCCTTGGAGGTAGGGTTTGGAGTGTGGTGGAGGCAGCGAACACATTAGCAAAAAGTTAGGCTAAATCAGACCTGCAAAACTGGAGGGAGAAATTGGCTCCAGGTTTTATTCAGTTTACTGTCTTTAAAAACAAACAAACAAACAATGAAAAACCACAAATATCCTGCTCAAATAGCTCCCGAGGCTCACCTTTCCCAACAGGATGAAGTCCGGACTCCTTGGGGTGGCATTCAAGACCTTCCACAATCTAGTACTAACTCACCTTTTTCACGTTTTCTCCTACCACATTCCCAGCTCCACTCCCAGCCAGAGAATCTCGCATAGTCCCCTGAATACTCTAAGCTTGCTCTTGCTTCCATGCCTTTGCACATGCTATTCCTCCTGCCCCATAGCACACCACCACAGATGTCACATCTAGATGAAAACATCAATCCTGTGTTAAAATGCATTGGTTTTCCTCTCCCACTCCTGAATAGTCCCAGCTAAGAGAGAACCTTTGCTGCCTCTATGGAATTACAACTGCGAACACAGCTAAACAAATCAAAAAACACCAACTAGAAGCACTGAAGTTTGAAGCATTGAGTGGGTCCCCAAAGCATTATTGGAAGATCAAAACTTATAAGGTTGACTATCAGTGTGGTTTGGAAAGTCTTGAGTTGCTACCAAATGAATTTAAGGATAATACAACAATGTGTTCCTAAGTTGGAACAATTTGCCATATAGATGTTATGCTAAAATCCAGCAATAGGACTAAAAAGCATTGTTAGGGAAACATCTACAATTTTTTCAGAAAGTTAGCCAGGGTGGGGAAGGCTTCTCTGGAGCATTTTTAACATACTATCTTGTCACAGGTTTCAATAAGCATGAAATGCAATTCAGGGACCTGTTTTTCATGATATAAAAATCTTTGCACACAGTAAAATCACCATATCATCTGGTTTACCTAGGAGGTTCTGGTTTACACCCATTGTCCTGACATAATTGCCAATAGTTCCCCTTTTATTATCAGGTACCATAATTTGGAAAATAAATTATATTGTCACTCTAGCACTGGGTAACCAAACAAGAGCTTGTCTAAGTGGTTGCTTTCCCAAGGTTTTGCCATCTGTTGGACTCCAGTTCACGTTTCAAGACGCAGCCTCTGTCACTTCCTCTGTGACAGAATTAATCTGCACTCCCACAGCACTGGGTACTCACCTTCATTCACTCACAGATCCTCTTTGGCTTTGTCTCCACTGAGCACTGGGTCCCCTCAACTAGACCACATTGTGTTCTGTGCATCTCCTTGCACAAGTCGTGAGAACAGTAAGCTCTTAACTAGAGGCTGTGGAGTGAATTATTTTGGACAGAAATTTCCCCAAGAAGATTTGGTTTTGCTTTATTTTACTTTCAGTCACCAAAGGAATAAAAATGTTCCTAGGGACTTGTTAAGCCTTAACACTGAATATTGGAAAGGGGATATGCAATACAAATGCTTTCAAAAGGAAAGTCAATAAATATTTAGGAAAGTGACAAGAAGTGTTCAAACATGCTTGTTGTTGTTGCTAAATGTTAAAGCTTTATCAACCTTCTTTAATAGTTTTTAAATTTGTTTTTGTTTTTGTTTTTTGAAACAAAGTCTCACTCTGTCACCCAGGTTGGAGTGCAGTGGTGTGATCTCAGCTCACTGCAACCTCTGCCTCCTGAGTTCAAGCAATTCTCCTGTTTCAGCCTCCCAACTAGCTAGGACTACAGGTGCCCGCCATCATGCCTGGCTAATTTTTGTATTTTTATTAGAGACAGGGTTTCACCATATTGGTCAGGCTGGTCTTGAACTCCTGACCTCAGGTGATCCACCCTCCTCAGCCCAAAGTGCTGGGATTACAGGCATGAGCCACCGTGCCCGGCCTTTAATAGTTTTTTCTAAATTTAAAATTCTAGCAATAACTCTACTTGTATAAAAGAAACATTTTACTTTCTACTCTTTTGTATCCTTTAACAAGTATGTGTTGCTTTTTCTTTAACATGTATGTTTCTCTTTAAAACGTTTGTATCCCTTTTTAACTAGAAAATTTTTATTAGAAAAGATACAATTATTGAAACAAAAAATTAGTTTCCTAAGAGATTTGAGAGATCATTGAGATAAATCCTTTCATATTCCAGAGTGTGTGCTGGGCAGGAGGGTTGAAAGGGAAGGAGGAAAAACTAAGAAACTAATGGGACCCAAAGAATTTAAGGTATTCAGCAGAAGCCTCACAAGCAATAAGTGGCAAAGTCAATACTGGAACCCAGTTCTCTGAATCCATGTCTCTTGATCCTTGCACAACACTTCTCAAATTTCTTTGGACTGGCAAAAGGCATTTGAGCAGAGATACTCTTGTCATCCCTGGAGTTAGAATGTGAGCTCCATGCCTCAACTAGGATTATTTGGATGAAGTTAAACCATGCACAGCTCCAAATTCAAAGGAGTCAAGGAGAAAATTTATCCATGAATAAGGGTTTATATCACCTTACTTGCTGAGTGACCTTGGTCAGGTTACTTAACCTCTCTGAGGCTTAGTTTTCCTGTCTTTCATATGGTGCTAACAGTATGTTTCTTGTAGGATTTGGCGAGGTTTCAATGAAATAGTGTGCATAAAGTACTTACCAGTTTTTAGAGGGAAACGTTCAATAAATTATAGGCATTATAATAATTATTATTATTGCTGCTCTGCTACCCAGACTTGTATTGAAGGAGAACTTATTAATTTCAAATAGGCACTATGTAGACAGTTCTTCCTGCCCTAACGCTCAGGTGCCAATTCCATAAGCACTTTGACTTAAGAAATCTGTTTTCTGAGGAGGTGGTGATTGAAATGGGGATCATGTATAGAGGAGCCTGCATGACTGGTCTCCCTGTCACCAGGCATTTTCCTGTTTCCTAGATTCCTTGATATCACTTTTTTTTTTTTTTTTTGGCTTGGGCTTTGCAAAACTTCCTGGTGGGTAGTTTTAGTCATCCTTCCTAGCAGTTTGCAAGAGTATGTTATGAAGCTGGAAATCATTTAAAAAATGTCCTGATGTGTCAGAAAAAGGGAAGAAGAAGGATGATGGCTCCTCTTGTTCATTCATTTGAAATATTGATTACTAGTTCCTCTTTCTTTAATCTTTAATGGAGATTTTCTTTTCTTTTTCTCTTGTCTTCACAGACTTCTATTTACCATTGAAAAGAAAAGCAACCATAATACCCTGGCATCTACAAAGGAGAACCATTTACTTAAGCATCTACCTACTCGTTTGACATATGTTATTAAATACTTACTGCATTAGGCCCTGTGCTAGGCAATGACATACAGACATGAAGGTTACATAAACTTGTTTATGAAACATGGACTCTTACAGACCTGGGTTCAAATCTCTGCTTTGTCCATTTCTAAAGATTGGATCTCAGGCAGGTTAGCTACTTATCTCTCTGAACCAACTCCTTCTCTCAGATTCCCTGTCTCAGCCATGGCATCACCGTCATCTTTTTGTCCCAGTTTAGAAAGCTCAGAATGATTTTATTCTCCCCCTGAACCCTCTACCTAATGTTCTGTCCATCACCCAGCAATGCACAATTTAATTCCTAAATATTCATTGAATGTATCTTCCCCTACATCTCCAATTTATTTAACAAATATTTATTGAGGGCCTGCTCTGTCCCAGGCCCTCTGCTGGCACAGGGATACCTGTCCCTAAGGAGCTCCCTGGCTGGTCAGGTGCATCCATAAATACACAATTTCTCAATAGCAAATGGGTGTAGCGATAATAAAAGCCCACTTTTATTGCACGCTTAATCACTGCTGGACACTGTTCTAAGAGCATTATATACATTAAACCACTTAATCATCACAATAACCCTAAGAGATAGGTGATATTAGTATCTTTACCTTATAGATAAGGAAACCAAGACAACAGAGTGAATAAACAACTTGGCCAAAGTCACACAACTCACTAGCAGTGGAGGAAGGTGCAATGGCTTATAAAGTTGGCTTAAAAGCTATAGCTGTAACCACTAGTGAGCTCAGGTTCTGCTTTGAGGGCATTGGAGAGGGGTCCCTGGGGAGGAGCTCCTAACCATATTAAAGGTCCTTCTTTGAGCTGTTGTCTATGCTGAGCCTTACAATGTGAGTAGGGTTTAGCCAGAACAATTCTCCCCATCCCCCCACACCCTGCTCTGTGGGCCTCACCTTGACCAGTTTCTTCATTGATCCCACTCTTGTTGGTCCATTCTTCTCACATGTGTCACAGTGAGCTTTCTAATCAAATCTGATCATATTATTACTACTTTTTTTTTCTTTTACTTTTTCTTCTTTAGATACAAGGTCTTGCTCTAATGCCCAGGTTGGAGTACAGTGGCGGAATCATAGCTCACTACAGCCTCAACCTCCTGGGCTCAGTCGATCCTCCTATCTCAGCCTCTTGAGTGGTTGAGTGGCTGGGACTACAAGCATGCACCACCACAACCCACTAATTTTTAAAATAATTTTTTTGTAAAGATGGGGCTCTCCTTACGTTGCCCAGGCTGGTCTCGACCTCCTGGACTCAAATGATCCTCCTACCTCAGCCTCCCAAAGTGCTGGAATTATAGGTGTGAGCCACTTTGCCTAGCTTTAATGTTTTGGAATGTCTTTCCATCATCCACAGGATAGAGTCTAAACTCCTCAGCATGATCATGAGGCCTCCACAATGTGGCCATGTGGCCCACCTAACTCCCAGCCTTGCCCTACCCTTCCTGCCTTCAGCCACACCCACTCACTGGTAGGCCCACTTCTGCCTCCATCTGTGTCAGATTCTATCCCTCAGCTCCTATGAGGCTTTCCACCCTCATCTTTCTAGGATACCTTCCTGGATCCCACAGGCAAAGTTAACTACTCTCAATAGTACAACCCACCACACCCCAAATACATGTATTTTAGCTCTTCTCCTTCTGAGTTAGAACAGTTGACTTTTGAATCCGTCTACTTTATTATATAGTGAGCCCCTTGAAGGGTATTTCCCAGATCCTAACAGGGCCTGGTACTAGTGAATCCTTAGCATGAATGAATGAATGAATGAGTAAATGAATGAATATTAAGAACCAGGACCAGACTTTAAGCTTTTTTATCTGTTGCAGCTCATAGCATAATGCTGAGGACGTTCAGTATCCAGTCAAATATTGATTTTCCTTTTACACATCTATGGGGTACAATCATGCCCCAACAGAACTAGAAAAGGGAAAATACTATCCATAAAGTCAAAACTGTATCATGAGAAATGCGCTGGACAGGTGGCCAGGAGATCTGGGATTGTCGTCCAGGCCCTATCACCAACTAACATGTGACCTTGGGCAGGATATTAACCCCCATTTCCTCAGCTATAATACTGCCATGAAAAGTCTAAAAGGGCGTGAGTGCTGAAGAAATTTGTAAACTGTAAAGCACTGGGCAAGCCAGAGACATCACTGGCTTCATTCCTCCAGCTACTCTCCAAGGATTAATCTAAAGGGTATACTCAGCGCTACTGCAGGCCATGGGGCAAGCCTTTCTCACCCTTTCTCCTCTTCTTGGCCTGAGTCCAGGAAGATTTCCATCTGTACCTTGTCTGCAAGCCAGACTCTGAACCTAGGGTTTGGAAAAACAGGCAGGTTATATTCATCCAGGTGTATCCTGTATACATACTGAGCTGTAAAGCCAAGTTTGTTCTCAGAATAAAGTGAGCACACATATGTGCGTGTATGTGTATGTGTGCTGCTTTCATTAGCACAGCAAGGTTCAGCACAATAGAGGCAGCTGTGGAGTAGTGGCAAGAGCTCTGAACTTGACATCATTTAGGTCTTAATTTCACCATTGTCATTCCTGCGCACGCTGAGCGACTTTTGTTATATTCTTAACCTCTTACGGCCTCCCTCCCTCCTCTCTAAAATGAGGTAATGCATTTGCCGTAGATTCATTGTAAAGATTACACAAGGAATGTAAGGTGGCTAGCACAGTGCCTGGTATATAGTACATAGTACATATATATTTGTTTGTTGATTTCTATTTCTATTAATAATAATTATAACTAACATTTTGTATGCATTTTCTATGCATCAGGCTTTATGCTAAGCATTTTACATGTGTTATATGGAGTAAGTCTCATGACAACCTTAAAAAATAGATACAGTTGATCCTTGAACAACACAGTTTGAACAGCAAGGGTCCATTTATATGCAGATTTTCACCCACCTCTGCACATCTCAGACAGCAAGATCAACTCCTCCCTTCTACCTCCCCTTCAGCCTACTCAACATGAAGACAAAAAGGATGAAGACATTTATTATGATCCACTTCCACTTAATGAATAGTAAATATATTTTCTTTTCCTTATGATTTTCTTAGCAATATGTGCTTTTCTCTAGCTTACTTTATTGTAAGAATACAGTATATACTAATAGTACATATAACATACAAAATATGTGTTAATTGACTGTTTGTATTATTGGCAAGATTTCTAGTCAAAAGTAGGCTACTAGAAGTTAAATTTTTGAGGAGTCAAAAGTTATACGTGGATTTTCAATTGTGCAGGGGGTTGGCGCCCCTAATCCCCATGTTGTTCTTCAGTCAACTGTATTGTTATTCTTCCTTATAGACTAGAAGACTGACACTCTGATGGGTTAAGCTGCTACCCCAAGGTCAGAATAGAGCTGGTAATTAGAGGAACCAGGGCTCAGATACATTTCTCTATATTCTAAAGCAATGCTTTTGGGACTTCTAATGAAATATGTCTGTTTAAGTCAACATTTTTGCCCTTATTACCAGGAAATTATACTAAAGGGACAATAAAAATAGGAGGGAAAGTAGAAGACTCAAATAATAGAAGTATAAGCTTAATTACATAAGTATCCATATAAACAGACACACTAAGGAAAATGTTGTTGACTGAAATGGGTTTGTTAAGAAGGAGGAAGATAAGCACACTAATTGTGTCATCATTTATAATGAACTAGCAGATAGTGTCCAAAAAGTAGAGAGAACTAAGGATGTTTTATAAATATATAAACTGGTAACCACTAAAATAGAAATGTAACCCATCTTAAATAGCAGAGAAAGCACAAACAAAAAACAAAATAGAGCTGTTTTTATAGTAAATGACATACATACGTCCATAAATGCAAGCTAGACTGACTTCTGATTCCAGCCAACATGAATAAGAGGGACTGGATTATTTTCACACTTGGAACAACCAAAAATACCGAAGTATATGAAATAATGGCTGTTAAGACACTGGACACCAGGCAATAAAGAACAGCAATCCCTAAAATAAAGGAAACAAATGAGGTGAGCCTACAACTGCTTCAGTTTACTGCCTGGAGGCAGTGTTCAGGCTGTGACATAAGGAAGGGACCCAGACAGAGTCCAGCAGACTTCTGGAGTAGAGGAGATGAAACTGAGAGTTCAGAGAGACCATGGTAGACAGAATTCACAGGACAGAGTACTGGAGAGGATAAAGCCACAGGGAGAGAAGGCTTCAAAGATCCACAGAAGATTCTGGTCAGCATACACATGTGAGGAAGCTATCCAAAGCTGGGGGAAGAACCCAACAAAAGGATTAGAGGGAAAAATACCCATCGCTGCCATACTTGTGACTAACTCATGGGTCAGAGAAGAAATCAGAAGGAAATTATGAAGTATTTCAAACTGAATGAAAATCAGAATACCATACATTAAAATTTGTGGAATGCTGCTAAACAGTACTTAGGGAAAATTCATAGCACTAACCACCTATATTAGTAAAGAAGAAAGTTCCAAATCAATGACTTCAGCTTCCACCTTAAGAAACTAGGAACAGAAGAGCAAATCAAAACCAAAGTGCGTGGAAAAAAGAAATGGGTAAAAATCAGAATGACAGTCAATATAATAGAAAATAGAAAGATAATGAAGAAAATCAGTGAAACTGAAAACTGGTTCTTTGAGAAAAATCAAGAAACCTCTGGGAACTTAGATAAAATGGAAAAATTCCTGGAAAGACGCGAACTATCAAACCTCACTTGAGAAGAAATAGGTAACCTGAATTGCCCTAAATCTAGTAAGAAAACTGAGTTTGTAGTTGAAAATCTCCCCACAAATATAATTCCAATTCCAATTGGTTTCACTGATGAATTCTACCAAACACTTAAGGAAGAAACATAAATTTGACACAGACATCCTGAAAACTGAAAAGGAGAGAATACTTTACAACTTATTTTAAGATTCCATAACTACCCTGATACCAAAGCCAAATATGTTAAAATGAAAAAAAAAAGACAAACAAAAAAACTACAGACCAATATCCATAATGAATACAAATCAAAAAATTCTAAATAAAATTTTAGCAAATTGAATCCAACAATATATGAAAACAATAATACCTATGCCCAAATGGAGTTTATTCAAGGAATAAAAATTTTGTTTAATATTAGAAATCAGTTAATAACATTTATTTTATTAACAAGGCAAAAAATAATAATCATGCTTATCTCAATAGATGAGACATCCATTCTTGACAAAATCTCTAAGTAAATTAAGACTAGAAGGGAACTTCCTCAACTTGATAAAGAGCATATAAGAAAAATGTACACCTAACATTATACTTAATGGTGAAAGACTAAGTGTGTTCTCCCTAATATTGGGAAAAAGACAATGACATCTACTCTCATCACTTCTATTCAACATTGTAATGGAGTTTTTGTCCAATGCAATAAGGCAAGAAAAAGAAATAAAGGGAATCCAGATTGGGGAAAAAAAAATAAAACTCTTTATTCTCAAAAACATGATTGGGCTGAGTGCAGTGGCTCATGCCTGTAATCCCAGTACTTTGGGAGCTCATGGAGGGCAGATCACTTGAGGTCAGAAGTTTGAGACTAGCCTGGCCAACATGGTGAAATCCTGTCTCTACCAAAAATACAAACATTAGCTGGGCGTGGTGGCACGTGCTTGTAGTCCCAGCTACTTGGTAGGCTGAGGCATGAAAATCACTTGAACCTGGGAGGTGGAGGTTGCAGTGAGCAGGGATTGTGACACTGCACTCCAGCCTAGGTGACAGAGTGAGACCCTGTCTCAAAAACAAAAACCAAAAAAACCCATGATTGCCTAGTAAGAAAATCTGATGGAAAAGAGAAAAGTAGTACTAGAACTAATAAGTGAGTTCAGCAAGATTTCAGGATACAGGATTAATATTGGATTAAAATTATATTTTTATATCATAGCAATGAACATTGAACATTCAAGTTGTAGAAAATAACCTTTACAATAGCATCAAATAATGTGAAGTACTCAGGGAGAAGTCTGACAGAAGATGTCAGACACTGTACACTGACAACTACAAAACATTGCTGGGAGAAATTACTGAAGACAATAAAATGGAGAGACGCACCTTATTCATGGATCCAAAGACTCAATATTTTTAAGAGGTAAGTTCCCCCCAGATTGATCTAGATTCATTCTAAAACTTATATAGAAATGTAAAAGACCTTGGACATCCAAAATGACTTTGAAAAAGAACGATATTGGAGAGCTAGCAGTACCTGATTTCAAAGTACATTATAAAACTGCAGTGATCAGAACAATGTAGTATTGATGCAATGATAGACAAACAGATCAGTGGAACAGAATATAGAATCAAGAAGTAGATCCATAGATATATGGGCAGCTGATTTTTGACAAAGATGCAAAGGCAATTTAGTGTTTTCAACAAATGGTTCTAGAACAATTGGATAATCTCTATGAAAAAATATTGATGTTTGACCTATACTTGCATCACACAAAAACATTAACTAAAAATGGATCATAGACCCAAGTGTGAAACTAAAATTTATAAAACTTCTAGAACAAAACATAAGAGAAAACAAAGGTTTCTCACATACAATATCAAAAGCATAAAAGGTCCATAAAAGATCAAATTAATAAATTAGACTTCATACAAAATTAAAAACTTATTTTTGAAAGACACTGTTAAGAGAATGAAAAGACAAGCTACAAACTGGAAGAAAATATGTGTAAAGCATATATCTGATAAAAAGACTTATATAGAGACTATATAAATAATTCTCAAAATGTAGTAATAAGAAAACAAAGGGACCAAAAGATCTGAACAGGCACTTCACCAAGGGAAATACATGGATGGCAAATAAGCATATGAAAAGATACTCAGCACCATTAGAGGAAAGCAAATTCAAACTACAATGAAATACCACTACACACCTATTAGAATCACTGAGGCTAGAAAGACTGACCATCTCAAGTATAGGTAAGGGTGTGGAACAAGCAGAACGCTCATATACTGATGGTGGGAATGTAAAATAGTGCAACCACTTTGGAAAAGAGTTTGGCAGTTTCCTAAAATGTTAAATATATGCCTACCTTATGAGTCATTCCACTGCTGGGTACTACCCAAGAGAAAAACAAGTATATGTTCATACAAATACTTGTATACAAATGTTTATCACAGCTATATTTGTAATAGCTAAAAATGGAAAACAACACAAATGTTTATCAACAGGAAAATGGGTAAATGAATTATAGTATATCCATACAACAGAATACTATTTAGCAATACAAAGAAAAACATGCAGTATTATGGATGGATAGCAAAACTATGCTGAGTGAGAAGAAAGTCAGACAAAACAAGGGTACATATTGTATGATTACATTGATAGAAAAATCTAGAAAATGCAACTAAAACTATAGTGATAGAAGGCAGATCCTTAGTTGCTGAGGGTAAGGTGGGTGGGGCAGGATGGTGGGAAGTGAACTAGGATGGGAGGGAGAGATTGCAAAAGGAAATTTTGGGTGTGATGGGTATGCTCCCCATCTAGAGTATGGTGATGACTGCATGGATATATATGTATGTCAAAACTTATTACAAGTATATACTTTAAAATATGTTTACTTAATCATTTATAAATTACATTTCAATAAAGTTATTACAAAAATATATTTCTTTAAAATTAAAATGTATATAAAGCTGGGAATATAAAATTAAATGACAAACATAAAACTAAAACATAAAATTAAATGACAAAAATAAAAGCTAAACATAGCTCTTATATTAATAAGTATGAATGGACTTTAATTCACTTTACTAAGAGAAATACTGTCAGACCGGATCATAAAGCAAAACCCCAAATTGCCCAAAAAGATTAAGAAAATAAGATGATGAGAAAATGTATAATAGACAAATTCAAACATAAAGAACGCTGAGGTTGCCATTTCATATGAGAAACTGCGGAATTCAGGTTAAAGAAAAAAAAAAACTAAAACAGACAAGGAGGGGTATGCAACAATGATGAAGTGTGAAATTCACAACGAGGCTACAAGAATTTTGAAAATCTATACCCAAAATAACACAGCAGAAATATTCATAAAGCTGTAAGAAGACATTAACAACAACATAATCATGGTACAAAATTAACAACAAAATAATCATGGTACAAAAATGTAACCTATTTTCTCAATCCCTGATAGATCAAGTGGATGGATAAATAAATAAATACATGCATAAGTAAATAAAATACATAATTAAATGTAACAAAGACCTAAATAACAAATATAAAGCCAATTTCATTGATATGTTTCAAACGATATACTCTGAAAATAGAGATCACATTTTATATTGTTTTCAAATGTTCATTTTATACTCATAAAAATTTATCATATATTAGCTGCCCAAACCTCGAACATTCCAAAATGCAGAGATACTCATGGTAATATTCTCTTCTTACAAAGCAACCAAACAAGAAAGTTATAATAAAATTTAAAAATTAATTTAGTGATGTACATACTTCATTTAAATAACTTCTAATTTAGACAGACAAGTTTAAAAACAACATTAATGAAAATATTATATATCAAAACCATGAGATACCATAAAGCAGTCTCAGAGGAAAATTCATACCTCAGTACTTACATTAATTAAAAAGTACAGAAACAGATAGACCAAACATATGTTAAAAATATAGGAAAAGAGGCTGGACGCAGTGGCTCACGCCTGTAATCCTAGCACTTTGGGAGGCTGAGGTGGATCACTTGAGCTCAGGAGTTCAAGCCTGGACAACACGGTGGACAACATGGACAATCAGCCTGGACAATATGGTGAAATCCCGTCTCTACTAAAAATACAAAAAATTAGCCAGGCAAGGTGGCAGGAGCCTGTAATCCCAGCTATCGGGGAGGGAGAGGCACAGAAATTGCTTGAACCCAGGAAGCGGAGGTTGCAGTGAGCTGAGATCACACCACTTCACTCCAGCCTGGGCGACAGAACAAGACTCTATCTCCAAAACAAAAGAAAAAAAAATTAGAAAAAGAATAATAAACTTTTTTATTTATTTCCAAATAATAAACTTATTTATTTATTTCTAAATAACAAACTTATTTATTCGGAAAAATAAGTTTTTCCAAATAAACTGTTGGAAAAGAGAAGGAAGAGTGACAGTTAAGCTGAGATTCAAAAAAAGAGGAGTGGCCAGGTGCAGTGGCTTAGGCCTGTAATCCCAGCACTTTGGGAGGCCGAGGCGGGTGGATCATGAGGTCAAGAGATAGAGACCATCCTGGCCAACACGATGAAACCCCGTCTCTACTACAAAATACAAAAATTAGCTGGGCGTGGTGGTGTGTGCCTGTAGTCCCAGCTACTCTGGAGGCTGAGGCAGGAGAATCGCTTGAACCCGGGAGGTGGAGGTTGCAGTGAGCCAAGATCATGCCACTGCACTCCAGCCTGGGCAACAGAGCGAGACTGTGTCTAAAAAACAAAACAAAACAAATGAGGAGTGAGCAGAAGGAGAATGGATGGATGGGCTGAGCTGAAGGAAAAGCAAGTACAGTCACAAAGAATGGAAAGAATGCTAATGTGTCTGGAGCTTAGAGGACCAGGGGTATAGGCCAAAGGGAGGTGAAGGGGTAGAGCATGCAGGACCACAGGGGCCATAAGGAGCGTGAAGGCTATCCTGCCTGCACAGGGCCACGTGGACATGATCTATGCAGTGGCACTACAGAAGTGGATTCACATGTTAGCAGGATTGCTTTGGCTGCGGGGCAGGGAAATGGACGGGAGGCGGTGAAGGAAGCAGGAGACTAGGCATAACATTATACATAGAGGACGAAGATGGTGCCTGGCCTGGAGGCATGGACAGGTACCCCTTGCCTGATGTTCACAGTCAAACCAGCCTTCCAGAATTGGGTTCAGCTCCAGAAGTGGCACTTCCAGAAAGCCTACAGCAAACTTGAGACTCTCTAGCTGAGCACCAGAACACCAAAGTATGTAAGAGTTTGAGAGCAAGTGAAGCGGGTGACCCAAACAACCCAGGCTATCTGGCTTGTAAACACAGAAACCAGAAATCATCATGGCCTCCCTCATTCTGAGTGAGGGGGCTGCCATGTCTCAGAGTCCATGCCGTCCCCACAGAAGCTTCCAGGTTCCAAGAAAAGGCCAAGTAGAGGCTGAAGGTTTCTGGGCTTTCCCGAGGAGTTACTGAGATTGATTTCTTTTGAAGGAGTGCAGACTCTTCCCTGCTGCCCCTTCTTTTTATAAAGGCATCAATCGTTTGAGTCACTTGGGAATAAAACTGTTGTTGTGGAGAAGATTTCTGTGGGCGCCCGAGTAGGAGTTGGGATGGCTGCTGTCAGGGGATGGGAGAACATATGGTGGTCTGTTGTGAATGTGATCTGTTTTTTGTGTTGTTGTTAAACTTCCTCTTGTTAGCATTGGGCCAGTTATGTAAGAGCTTGAGGGTCCATATGGTTTGTTGCATAAGACGCCAAAGAGGAACATGGTTTGCCATTGCCTTGCAGCTACTCCAATTGTGAATTTAAAAAATGTGGCCACAGTGTTATATTTGGGCAATGGAGTCAAGTAGTCCTGGATTTGAATATCAGTTCCACCACTGGTTAGCTGTATGACCCTGGGTAAGTTACCTAACCTCTCTGAAACTTAAACTCTCAAAGACTCAATAGCCTTCTTGCAAAATGGAGAAAACAGTACGTACTTCATATAGCTGTTAAGAGGATACAGTAATGCTAAATGACGAGTTAACGGGTGCGGCACACCAGCATGGCACATATATACATATGTAATTAGCCTGCACATTGTGCACATGTACCCTAAAACTTAAAGTATAATAATAATAAAATAAAAAAAGAGGATACAGAATTAATAATGCTAGTTACAATGTATTGAGTATCCCAAATTTGCAATACTGTGTGCTTTACAAATATTGCTTTGTTTAAACCTCACAGAAATCCTTGGAAGTAGCTGTTACTCTTTTTATGTTTCAAAGAGGAAACTGAGGAGCAAAGTGATGGAATGGCTTCCCTCATCTAATAGGAAGCTGTGGAGCTAAGATTCAAACATATGTTCCTGCCAAGAAGAGCTATTGACATTGGGCCTCACTGTCTCCAGTGCTGGTGAAGCACTAGGCACATAACAGGTGCCAAGTCAATGTGATCCTAGACTATAGGCTTCATGAGGCAAGACATTTGGACAATTTTGTTCACTACTGCATCCCCAGGTTTAAAAACCGTGCTGGGTGCAGAGTAGGCATTCAGTAATAACTTTTGGACTAAATAAATGGATTCTGCATTTATGGCATAGCTGTCAGTTCTGGAGGTGGAGCTGCTTGGGTTTGAATCCCAACTCTGCCATTTACTAGCTGTGAAAATAGCTAATTCAGTTGGTTGGTTCATTTTCCAGCACAGTGTTCTCATCTGTATACTGCGATTACTGGTCACTTCCTCTCGATAACTGTCCCTTTCCCTGTTTTCTTCTGGATGCACAGATCAATCCTCTATCCCAGGCTTATTCATCTATACCCCACCCGATTTAAGATGAAACAAAACCCCAAACACAAAACTGCAACAACAAACTTACCTGTGCTTTCTGGAGCTCCTATATGAACTTATCCTTACTAATGCAAATAGATGACAAGATTAATATGTTATCTTTATCAGAGGGATTTGCATCTCAGCAAGTACATTCTTGAAATATGGTGATTTAACCCACGGCGTAATTGCTTACTGGAAGAATTACACACAACCTATAGGAAGTCATTACTAAGAAGAGTTCTTGGGTGTTACTCTGGCTCGGTGGAAAAGGTCATGATCAATTGGTGATGCCTGCAAAGGCATGGAGGGAGGTGCTTGGGGCTTGAATGCCATCCTGGACTAAGCTGATCTTCCCATATTTTAGAGCTGAGGAAACTGACTGAGGCTCTATCAAGGAAAAGTGACTTGCTCAAAATAAATAATTAGGCTTCAGAAGCAGCATTAGACTCTTGCTTTTTTCTGATTCACAGTCCAGTTCTTTTGCCCTAATCTTCCAACATACTGGTTTGGACCAAAGCTTATTGGGGGGAAAAAAAGAGGGGGAAGGAGAATTAACCTTCATGGAGCACCCACCCTAGACTGGAGACTCTCCATGAGATACTTTAAAAACATTTTCTTTTATCCTGTGAGGTGAGCAACATGTCTCCCATTTTACAGATGAGGAAGCCGAGTCTCAGAGAAGTGATGTAACTTACCCAAGGTCCCAGAGCCAGAGAGGGAAGCCTGACCTGACCTGGATCCTTATTCCTGCGTCTGGGGATGATTTGAACCCACACTCCAAGGCTAAATATTTGTCCACCCCACAGGTTCAAAAGTTGAGCATCCCTGCTCTCCCACCTACAGAACTAGCTGTGAAGGCTTGGGCAAGTGACTTCACTTCTCTGGGATAGATTTTTCATCTTTAAATAAGGACAATCAGCATACATTCCTTAAAGAATGTAATGAGGATTTAGTAAATTCGAGTACATAAAATGATGAATATCGGGTCTGTCCCATAGTAAGTACTCTTTTAATATTAGTTCAAAACAAACAAATCTGACACATGCGGCCTCACTCCAGTGCCCTGAGAGGCTAGAGGTGCTGGGATGGCCCACACAGGGCCCAGGGAGACGGCAGCCAGGCCCAGCCTCCCCGGAGCCTTTGCTCCGTGTTTTGGCACAAGGCCCGGGACTGAGGAGTCCCCATTCCTCTCTCCTGTCAACTCAGCAGAACAAGCTGTTTCAAGGGAAGGTGGTTCCCCTTGAGAAAATGTTCTCGCACGCCCTGGAGGCTCTTGCCCTGCACGTCGTCAGCGATCAGCCGGTACAGGGCCTGGGCCCCACCCTGCACAACCATTCTTTCAAAGTCTGTATCCTGCCAAGTCATAAAAGGTAGTGTGCGGTCTGGACAGCTGTGGTCTTCTAGCAGAACTCCCCTTTGCTGATGACTTTGAACCAACTTTGTCTCTGTGTGCCTCAGTTTCAGGCCCTTTAAAATGAGGTGGTAATGAGCTGTCTGTCAACTCTTTGGTAGGAAGGTTGAGAGAAACCACTGGAGACACTGCCTCTTCTACCTCATTTCCCATGCCTTCTGCAAATGTCTGCAGTCTGGCCTCTGTCCCCTTGATGCCAAACAAAACCGCCCTGCCCAAGGTCACTGTTGTAAATCTAAATGACACCCCTCAGCAGCAGTGGGAGCATTCTGTCCTGGTGTGTTCTCTGACTCTGTGGCCTCTGATTCCCTTCCTCCCCATCTGGCCACTTTCTCATTCTCCTCTAAGGGATCCTTTCCTTCCTTCAGTCCTTAAATGCTGCAATTTCTCCAAGGTTCGGTCCCCAATCTCCTTTCTCCTCACTCTGTATACTCCCAGGGTGCTTAATACCACAAGCCTGGACCGAAGTCACTCTGAGAGTATATGGAGTGAGGAGAAAGGAGGTTCTCCTGCACTGTGTATTCCTCATCCTCACCACCCAATCATCCAACCCGTGATCTGGATCTCAGAGAATTGCACGGCCATTCATTCAGTAAATGTGTAATAAACACCTTCCAGGTGCAGGTACTGTTCAAGGAGTAAAGTTTACAGCAAAGGAGAGGACATAGTCCCTGCTCTTATAGCACTTACCCTGCTTCTACCAAGATGTCCAAGGGTCTGGGGCTCCTTGTAACTCCCTTCTCCCTCACCCTCTTTTGCAATTGGCCACCAAGTCTTGCCAATTCTGCTTCCATAGTATCACTTGAGTTGATTCCCTCTTTTCTGGATGTTCTCATTGCCATGACTTAGTTCAGGCAACTGCTTCCAACCTGGTCTCCCAGCGACTCCAGGCTTGCCCCGTCCAATGCACTGTACACTGCAGCCAGAGCTATTTTTAAAAAACACAGGCTGGGCACGGTGGCTCACGTCTGTAATTCCAGCACTTTGGGAGGCCGAGGCGGGTGGATCACGAGGTCAAGAGATCGAGACCATCCTGGCCAACGTGGTGAAACCCTGTCTCTACCAAAAATACAAAAATTAGCTGGGCATGGTGGCGTGTGCCTATAGTCCCAACTACTCTGGAGGCCGAGGCAGGAAAATTGCTTGAACCTGGGAGGCGGAGGTTGAAGTGAGCTGAGATTGAGCCACTGCACTCCAACCTGGTGACAGAGCGAGACTCCATCTCAAACAAACAAACAACAACAACAAAAAAAAACCCCCACAAATCTGGTTATGCTGCGCCTTTGCTTAAACCCTCCATGAGTCCTTCCCATCACCTTAATGATGAAGTCTAAGTCTCTTAGCTAGGTAGATGTGTATCAGTCAGGAAGGAGTCTATCAGGGAAACAGAATCAGTAAGAGACTAGGATTCTATCTATCTATCTATCTATCTATCTATCTATCTATCTATCTATCTATCTTTCTATCTTCTATCTATATCTATCTATCTTGTCTATCTACCTATCATCTGCCTTATCTATCTAATTTATCTATTTATCTTATCTACCCACCTATCTATCAAATCTATATATAATCTAATCTATCCATCTTATCTCTCTTTCTATCTGTCTGTCTATCTATCTATCTATCTATCTATCTATCTATCTATCATCTATCTATCTGTCTATCTAGAGATTTACTTCAAGGAATTAGCTTCTGTAGTTGTGGGATCTTGCTAGACATTTCTGATATATGCAGGGCAGGTCAGCCAGTTGGAAACTCTTGGGCAGAGCTGAAGCTGCAGTTCACAAGCTGAATTCTTTCTCTCTCAGGGAAATCTCAGTCTTGCTCTTAAGGCCTATCAATGGACTGACTGAGGCCCACTCATGTGATTGAGGACAATCTTCTTTACTTAAAGTCAACTGATTTTAGGTATTAACCATATTCACAAAATACCTTCTCAGCACACCTGGATTAGTGTTTGGTTGAATATCTGGGTACTATAGCCTAGTCAAGTTGACACATAAAACTAACCATCCTAACAGGGTGCTTCTGGACCTGATTCATGCCCGTCTCCCTCACCTCTTTTCTTCCCACCTCACACTAAGGCTCAGTCACCCCTTGCAGTGTGCCCACTGGCCTTCTGCCACCTGTCCTTGCACAGGCCTAGAATATTCCCCACCCCTTTCCCGGAGAACTTCTAGTCGTCTTTAAAACCACTGGGATGCTTCTTCTTCAGGAAGCCTTCCCTGATTCCTCCCCACCCAATCCCTCCCACTCTGAGTTAACTGCATTGTCTCTGAGTTTGTAAAGCCCCTACTAATCATGTGAGATGGAAACTGCCTCGGGGGCTGCAAGGTCTGGCTCAGTAGCATGTGAACAGCTCTAGAACAAAAACTTTCTATCACATCACTCTGGTAAGCCCCACATGATGCAAATCCCAATCAGCAGCAATGATCTCATTTACTTGTGAATAAATCTCCCCTCCCTATTAGAATGAAAGCTCCATGGAGGTAGGAACTGTACCTGTCTCTTTCAGGGCAGTATCTCTCAGACCTAACTGTGCCGGGCACATAGTAGATACTTAATAAACGTTTACTGAGCAAATTAATTAATAGTTGTTTGAATGGATTCAACAATAAATGTTAATTAAGAATCTTCTAAGTTCTAGGCATTATTGGGGACCTGGAAATATAATTATCAAGAAGGACAAGGATGCCCATCAATGATATATTAGAAAGAAAATGTGGTACATATACACCATGGAATACTATACAGCCATAAAAAGGAACAAGGTCATGTCCTTTGCTGGGACATGGATGGAGCCGGAAGCCATTATCCTCAGCAAACTAACACAGGAACAGAAAACCAAACACAACATGTTCTCACTTACAAAAGTGAGAGCTGAAAGATGAGAACACATGGACACATGAGAGGGAACAACACACACTGGGGCCTATCGGGGTTGGGGTGAGGGGAAGGAGAGCAGGAAGAATAGCTAATGCATGCTGGGCTTAATACCTAGGTGATGGGTTGATCTGTGCGACAAATCACTATGACACACGTTTACCTAGGTAACAAACCTGCACATCCTGCACATGTACCCTGGAACTTAAAATAAAAGTTGATTTAAAAAAAAAAAAAGAGGGACAAGGGCCAGCTCTCATGGAGCTCACATTCCAAGGAGGGGTGACAGGCAGCAACTAAATAAACTTATAAGTGATCAGGATAGGGAAATTAAAAATATAATATAGCTAATTAAATGAATAAAGGCACAAATGAATAAATGAATAATTGGAAATATCTATCTTTCATCTATTATTTATGCATCTGTCTACCTACCTACCTACCTACCTATCTGTCTGTCTATCTTCCCTTTCTTCAGCAAGAAACCTACATTGGGAGAGGGTAGGAAGTAGCGATATGGACACTAGATTTGGATTAGGAATTAGAAAGGTCTGACTCCATTCTTTACTGGTAGTGTGTGCCTGGTTAAGTAATCTAGCCCTGAGAATCTAGATCAGTTCTCTTATCTGTAATATAGGATTATGGTAACTGCTTTGTTTCTCCAACAGGGCTGTCATATCACATGAGGCAGCAAACATAAATGAACTTGGTGACTTGGAAGCTCTGTACCAATGTTAGGGGAGATTGTTGTTGATATTTGCAATTGTTGCAAGCAGAGCACTTTAGCTCCACCAGTTAATTGCATTGTTTAGTTGGAGAGAACCAGAAAGGAATTTTGGCATGGGACAGACCTGAGTTTCAGTTCCACTTCAGCCACTGCATGTTGAGTTGTGTGACCTTAAACATGAATTATTTCATCTTCCTTGGACTCGGTTTTCTGATCTGTGAAAATGGGGAAAGTAATTGCCCCCATCTAATAAGGCCATAAGGCAACAGCCAGGTTTAAACAAGGTAATCTATGTCAAGTGCTTGGCATAGGGTTAAGCCCATAGGAAGAGCTCAGCTAATATTAGCTACTAATAGTCATTCTGTCAATCATCGGTGGCTGTTCGTAAATGGAGCCATTCATGGTTCAATTTCTCAAGTCTCACTTTTCTGCCAGGAAACTTCCCAAGTCTTTATGCACCAACACCTGTGATTATGCAAAACCACAATCAGCGTTCATATTCCGAACATAAACAAATGGAGAATTCGCCCTTCAATACTCCCCCTCCCCATTTTTCAAAAAACAGTTTCTGGAACATAGAAAGATGAACTCTTCATTTCTATAGAAAACAAGTGTTCCTGGTTTTATAATCATATAACCCTGAAACAGTTATGTTTTTTCATGTAATGCATTTTAGAAGTTCCATAAAGGAGTCGTTGTCAAGAGAAAACACAGCTGGTGCCCAATTAGAGAGGTGAACGACACTAATGGACCAGCAGAACTCTTAATTAAGCTGGACCACAAACTGCAGGAGAGATGGCGGGTGGGAAACTGCAGTGGCCCACACACTCACGCAAAGGAATGAATGGGAAGGGCATTTAAGCTTTTAAAAGCTGGCTTTGCAGAGGCCAACACCTGATTTTGACTCACTCTGAACTTCTTTCTCTTCCTTTTCCCTGAGAAGCCTCAAGCTCTTTCACTTCTATTTGGGCATCAGTTTCTATCTTATTTGTCATCAGCTTCTGCGCTGGGAAGATTCTGAAAGTGGACTGGAGAGCAACAACTTCAGGAACATCTCCAGGGACTGCCTGTCTGCATTTCTTTCCTGCAGCACTGCTCTCTTTAGACAACTCCTGTCTCCCTCAGCAGTACCCCACTCACATCCAACTCTTGCTCATTTTTCCCATTGCTGCTGTCTTCTTTGCTCCCTCTTCCTACTGTGCCCTGTAGTATCCCCGTATTGTGCCAAATATACTCCACTTAAAACCTCACCTCTCTGCATGCCTTTGTCTCTGGATCTGAAGTGGAACCTGTATACTTTGCTGTCCCCATGGAGATGGTTTGTTTTTTCATATTCCACACACCTCAAAGCCAAGAAGCAGGACTGAGCTTCTTTTATGTCCCCTAATGCTACCTACACCTTAATCCTCTACCCTCCTGTGAAACAGATACACCTGCTGCCACACATTTGGTAATCACATCTGGAAAGAGATGCTGGATCTGCCATGCACTAAGAGAAGGTGTGTGTGTCTATTTGCGAGGTGGTATGAAGCGGAACAGAGGTTCTCAAAGTGCAGCCTTGGGACCAGCTGCTCAATGATCACCTGGGAACTTCTTAGAAATGGAAATTCTTGGGCTCCACTCCAGACTGACTGAATCAGAAACTCTAGGGGAGGGACCAAACATCCTGCTTTAACAAATCCTCCACCCCACCCCACCCCAGGCAATTCTAGTGATTACCCATGTTGGAAAACCACTAGTGCAGCATTTAAGGGTATGGGTTCTAAAGCTGGTTTACCTGAGTTCAAATCCCACTTGCGACTTACACTAGTGATGCCACGTTGGCCAACTTACACAATTCCTCTAGGCTTCTTTTTCCATCTCGTAAGATGGGAATAAAAATGGTATGTCCCTACAGGACATCATGAGATGACTGAAGTAGCTATACACCTAAAGTGTTTAGGACAGTGCCTAGCATGTAATAAGCTCTCATGAACTGTTAGCTCTTATTATTATCATCATTAGATGGAAATCAGAAAAGACCCTGGTCCTTGGGTGTTTGCATCTCTAGTCCTCCTGTTTGCTGTCATCTATGACGGGTAAGTGGCCCCCTCAAACCCAGTGCTTCTCCAGCTTTCCACGGTAGAGGCATGTGGACCTCCACACACACTTTTTTGAAATCTTATATTTTATTCCCAGGTTTGGCTATTAAAACATTATTTACAAATCTCATGTCCTGGTAAAATTTATAACCCAAGAAGCTACACTGTACTTCACCAGGGGCTTGTTGCATCCTTCCAGACCCCCTTTTCCCCAAGACTAGAAGTGTGGCTCCCTCTTTCCCACCTTCGACCTCCTCAACTCCAGGGACCTTTGCTTTATTCCGCGGCAGCCACCTATACTCAGAGCCGCACCCAGCTTTCATCTCGGCTGGCTACTGCTCCACCTTTGAAATCTCAAATAGCTGGGTCTCACTCTGACCCCTCCCTCTTATCTTTTCAGAGCTCTCCTCAGACTGACTCATTGACCTCCTCCTGAATTCCAGACTCTGAACCCCTTTCTCTGTTCCTTCCCAGTCTTTCAAACCTTATTGGTTTCTCGGATTTGCAACTTGCCATACCTCTTCCCCCTGCCACATTCATGGATGCATGGAGCAGGAGCAAGAAATAGACCTTTGTGTCTGCAGCCACCTAGAATTTTTTTTGTAATTCCTGTAGTATGACCTGGCTCATCTTGACTGGGGCACCTGCCTCTTAGGTGCATCTGAAGACCAAAGAGGTCACGTCTACAGAGCACTAAGCCCAGTGCCTGGACAATAATAACTGCTCAAGAAACATTAGCTGTTACTCTTACCCACCAAAATCACAGGGGCCACACACTGCCCTGTAATGTGTTTGCAAATTCCCAGTCAGATCCCTTCTCCTCTATGCAGTAGCGATTCCTATTATTTGTCATCCCACCAAACCTTCAGCCTTTGTAGAGAAAATAGAGGTAATCAGGTAGGAACTGTCTCAATAATTCTCACTCAAATTTATCTGCAGGTTTCCTTTCTGATCAATTTCCTTCCTATTTTAGAAGCAGTTGGGTATCTCCTGACCATAAGAACTGGAGGACAGACAGTGGGGTGACTTCTAAGACCAGGAAAGGTTGAACATTCATTCATTCATTCACTCATAAACCCCTGGGCCCAGAGAAAGCCCAGGTTTGAAGATTGAGACCTAAAGGGACTGCTATGCCAGATCTATTTTTCTTTCCCAAATAGTCCCTCCGCCCTCCTTATGCTCTCTTTTGTTTGCCATTCTCCCTCCCCACCAGGTACATGAGTAGTCAAAGCTGGGAGAGGGGGAGGACTGGACTGAAGCTCATGAATTAGGCCATCCTGTCACTGTCCCGGGTTTCAGGGGGAAAGGGAGAGAAGGCCAGTGAAGATCTTTAAGGAAAGCCTCAGGAAGGAGGTAAAGCAGGGACTATCCTTCTAGAACCTCTGTCGACTCTCCTGGCTACGTGAGCAGTTGACGTACGTGCAAAGGAAGGCCTGCATGCTTCCCCCTCTCCAGACAGGTTTCTCTGGAACCCCAACAGACAGACAGACAGTGATCTTTCTCCTCTCCAGACATCCTCAGCCGCCGCCGCTGACTCAGCCTCCCCGCCCTCCCCGTGGGTGGAGTAGGTAGGCAGCCCAGTCCCTGGGGTTGAAGCTGTAGGTGACATAAGGGCAAAGTCGCAAACATCTGCAGATATGAGACCTTTGATTTCTCCCCAAACCCCAGAACATTCACAACTCTGTCTCCTTTACCTGTCAGTCAGCCCCACCTTCCAGTTCCAAACCCAGACAAACTTCAGTTCCTTCTGTAGGAGATTGGAACACAGTGTCCCTGGAGGCACAGAAGGCCCCAGTTGAAATGACCTTTGGGACTAGCTAGCATTCCCTTTGAGGAGAAACAGGACTTCCCACCCATTCCAGAAAGGTCCAGGAGTCCTGGCTACAACATCTGAAAAGAGAGCAACTGACATCCCGGATGACTTACTTGTTCAGCACAGCAGACACAGCACCTTGGGTCTATAAGAAAATGTTTTCTTATAGAATAGTAAGATCTTTGTCTTCATGTCAATGTAGTTGTAAAGTATAATTTTACGCACACACACATACATGCACACTTTTCTGGAGAAAGGAGTCCACATAGGCAAAATTGCCTAGGGCCTGTGAAAATCATATTGCAGCCATGCTCATATCACCTCTCTAGGACTCAGTTTTCTCTTCTATAAAATACAGATCACAACACTTTCCACACCATTCCACCTCCAGTTTCACCAGTGTTCTGCCTGAACATCAATGACCTTAACATTTTCAGATTTGAAATGTTTGGAAGCCCCCCACATATACAATATGTAACAGCCAGATTCCTTAGTGTTGCATTTGAGGCCTTTCACTGTTTTCCACTTGGAGCTTCTACCTCGTACACAACTCTCCAGCTAGGAACATCATAACTCGTGCTGGTTGTTCTCAGAACAGGCTGAGCCTTGAGTTCCAGCGTGTCTTTGCACACTTAAAGCCCCTTTGCTTCAAAAGCATTCCCCTCCTCTTCTCTGCCGAATGGTCTCCTATGACAGCACAGCTAGCGAATTTGCAGCATCCAGTGAAAAATGAAAATGGGGGGCTCCTTGCTCAAAAATCGTTGAGAATTTCAAGATGGTAGAGCAGAACATTCAATCATGTATGGGGCTCTTCTGTGCTCATGGCCCTGTGGGCCTGCCCATGAAGCCATCTCTGCCTACTCCTTTTCTGAGATCACCTCAAATGTCACCTGATCTTTGAAGCAGTTTTTACTCTCCAAGACCAACAATAGGAAGACACAAAACGAAGCACTTCTTCTGTTCCAGGCATCATGCCAGGTGCTTTACAGATAAGGTCTCATTTATTCCTCACAACCACTCCATGAGGTAGGTAGTATTATGATCCCCATTTCTCTGATGGGTAAACTGAGGCTCAACAAGCAGTTGACAGAGTTGGCATTTAAACTGAGGGCTGCCTGAGCTTAGAGCTCATGGTCTTACCTATCAGGCTGCACCAACCCTTTCCACCACATGGTCTTTCAGTCTTGCTTCTGCTCTCCAATTTATAGAGACCCTAGGCCCGGGTCCTGTTCCTTTAGTCTCTGGGTATCCACCCCCTTAGCATGTCTGGTCCCCAAATACCCCAAGAGGCCAGTAGCTTTCCCAGCCTAGAGTACCTTCAGGTTTCCCAGGAGACATATGTGGAATCGAAACACTTTTTCCTTTGGGAATTATCGGTCATCCCCACATCCCCTGTGTCCCCAAGTCCAGTCCATTTGGTTTCTTTAAAAGGTATCTTGAGCCCCATGCCTCACTCCCAGTGCCAGTGTTAGCTCAGGCCTTTTTATCCTCTGCTAGACCTCAATGTCCCCTTCACTAGCCCTTCTAAATGCAGGCCTGACCATGTCACCCCTTCTTAAAATCCTTCAGTAGCTCCCCACTGCCCTCAGGTCCCTTAACCTGGCACACAGGACCCTGCCCACCCCTCGACTGGAACCCTCCCACATGATCATCACTAATTAATTACTTACAATTTCCAGAAGGAGTCATGTCTTGTCATGCTCCCGTGACTGTGCACATAATGTTCTCTTACCAGGAATCTGATCCCATAACACTTGGAAAACTCCTCCTAACGAGCCGAGGCTCATTTAGCATCACCTCTTACAGGAAGCCTTTCATAACTCCTGGCTCTTCCAAAGGCTGAGTTCCCATAACGTCCAGGCTTACTTCTGGCCCATCACTTAACTGTATTTATCCCAATTGGGCTGAGAGCCCTTCGAAGGTAAAAACTGTATCCAAGTCACCTCTGCATCTCCAGCCTCCAGCATGGGACCTCTTTGGCAACTGGAAGCACACAGTAGGTGTTTTCTGAGTAAAATCTATAGATGAATGATGTTCACCTGTCTGGCGTCAGGGATGCCCTTGCCACATCCGGGGGACAGCTACATCTTGGCAGCAGACAGAGAACAAACATCCAGGTGAGAACAGGACCACTGAGAGCTCCAGAAGGAAGCAAGATGGATGGCTTGATTACCTGATGTGCTTGAAGATTCTGAGAGCAGACTTAAATTTCTCACTGAGGGGAGAGGGATGTGTGTACCTAGGAAATAAAGCTAATAGATTTTTTTTTTTAAATGAGGCAGCAGTTTCAGTGAAAAGAATAAGTCATATAAAAGCAAAAATTTAATCATGATACAATATGGCTTAGCTGTGATTTATGTGGTCACAATGCTATAAAAACTAATCTAACAAAAGGAATGTTATATCTAGATTGGAAAGTTGGGAAAGGTAAAGTGTTTCCATGACAGAAGAGAGCTAAGTCGTTCTCTTTTGTAATGGAAAGTCAGTAGGCCATATAACTAATGAAAAAATTAAGAAAGAGACATGTAGACATAATATTTAGAAGCACGGACTTAAATACTGGAAGAAATATTGAACAGTGGCTGTCTCTGGGTGGTAAGATTTGGGCGTGGAGGGAAATGGGGCTGGGGAATGGGCTTTGTAGAACTATCTGACTTTTTGAACTATGTACATAATATTGGTAAGACACAAGATTAATTTTTAAAATACTGCTTGTGGTTTGAAGGCAGGAAAGTGTTGCAAGGCAAGCACGTCTGTCCAATCAGTCTGACTAATCTCCCTGAAATGCCACCTTGGGCATTTCTTCAGAGCCCTCTCAGGCCCAGGAACTGGACTGGGCTGGTCCGCCTTGCAATGCCCTCTGTGGCCTGGCCCCACCCTCCATGCACACGCCCTTTGCACCTCATTGACTGGCATCCTGCCATTTCTCCTGCAGATGCTATACCTCTTACCTCTAGGCTTTTGCCTAGGCTGTGCTCCTGCCTCTGTGTAATGCCTTTCCTCAATCTGCCCTCCCAGCTCCTTCCTCCAGCTGCCTGGGACAAGTGTGTTTGCTTTACCCCAGGACAGCCCTGCATTCAAGGGAGATTTTATTTGCTGCTTTCCCCTGGGCCTTTCTGTCTTGGCTCACACAGTTTGACAAAGTAAGAAGCCCTAGCAAGCCATGTTGCAGGCTCACCTCTTCTGTCTCATAGTTGAGGGCCTCTCTGAGTCTGTATCTTTGTCTGGAAAATCGAGATCTTCAGGCCTACTTGCCAGGATGTTTGTGAGAGTAGGTTGATGTGATGTTTATCAGAGATCTCAAGATAAACATCCTATTTCCAGTCCTCTCTTCTTTTGAAAAATCTCTGCCTGATAGCAGCTGTAGCTGCAGCAAGAGCTAATATCTATAGAATGTTTACAGTGTGACAAGCACTGCACTAAGTCATGCATTGTTTCATTTAATTCCCACATGACCCTCATTTTACAGATGAGGAAACAGAAGCTCATTGAAGGCAACTTGAAGGTGGATCTACATGTCCCTCCCCCACATTAGACCACAAGAGGCTCAAAGATAGGGAGAAATGCACACTCATGTTAAAGCTGCATTATTCACAACAGCCAAAAGGTGGAAGCAAGACAAGTAAGTGTCCGTTGATGGATGAATGGATATACAAACTGTGGTATATACATATGATAGAATATTACTCAGCCTTAAAAAGGAGGGAACACGCTACACATGGATGAACCTTGAAGATATTATGCTAAATGAAATAAGCCAGACACAAAAAGGCAAATAATGTATGATTCTACTTATATGAGGAGGCTAGAGTAGTCAAGTTCAGAGACAGAAAGTAGAATGGTGGATGCCAGGGGCTGGGGGAAAGGGGTCCAAAATTTTACTTTGGGAAAATGAAAGTTTTGGAGATGGATGGTGGTGATGGCTGCACAGTGCAAATGTACTCAATGACACTAAACTGTAATTTTAAAAATGGTCAAAATGATACATTTAAGGTCATGTATATTTTACCACAATAAAAATATTCTTTTTTTTTTTTTTTTTTTTGAGATGGAGTCTTGCTCTGTCACCCAGGCTGGAGTGCAGTGGCACAATCTCGGCTCATGCAACATCTGCCTCCCAGGTTCAAGCGATTCCCCTGCCTCAGCCTCCTGATTAGCTGGGACTACAGGCACCTGCCACCACAGCTGGCTAATTTTTTGTGGTTTTTTTTTGTTTTGTTTTGTTTTGTTTTGTTTTGTTTTGTTTTTTAGTAGAGACGGGGTTTCACTGTGTTAGCCAGGATGTCCCAATCTCCTGACCTCGTGATCCACCTGCCTTGGCCTCCCAAAGTGCTGGGATTACAAGCGTGAGCCACTATACCTGGCCAAAAACATTCTTTTTAAATGTGGTTAGAGACAGAAAGTAGAATAGAGGTCACCTGGGGCTGGGGGGAATGGAAGGAAGGTGGGTTTTTTTGTTTAATGGGTAAAGAGTTTTTTTGCTGGGGATGACGAAAAATTTTGGATGTAGATAGAGGTGATTCACACTACATTGTGAATGTGTTTAATGTCCCTGCATTGGACAATTATGAAGGTTAAAATGATAAATACTATGTTATGAGTATTTTCCCACAATTAACAAAAAATGGAAGGGAGACCCTGTGCCTCTTTGGTTTTTCTGGACCTAGAGGCTCAAGCGGGGTCTGGCAGACAGTAAAGGTTTACTTGAGAGCATTTGTCAGTTTGAATAGGCTTTTGTTGGAAGGCTGCCCACAGGAAAAGAACCTGAATAAGAAGGAACAAGATCAGGATTCCCATCCTGACTCAGTTTTTTGGCTAATTCTAGCTTCCCCCTGGTCAAAAGTTCCATGTATATATGGAATCCCCCAAGACAAAGACTCGACTGTAGTAACATAGACAGCAGCTATTAATCGCTAGGCTTTTTACATACACATAACTGTAGCCAACAATTATTGTATACAGTCATTGCCGCAGGGAAATTGGTTCCAGGACTCTTGTGGATACCCAAATCCAAGGATGCTCAAGCTCCTGAGATAAAATGGGGTAGTGTTTGCATATAACCTACACACATCCTCCTGTACACTTTAAATCATCTCTAGATTACTTACAACACCTAACACAATGTCTAGACATCACTTCACTTGTGTGGATTTAACATAGTACTTGGTACATGGCAAATTCAAGTTTTGCTTTTTGAAACTTTGCAATTATTTTTTTCCTGAATATTTTCAATCTGCAGTTGGTGCAATTCATAAATGCAAGACCCACGGATCCAAGAGGCCGACTGATACTGTTCTAAGCACTTTTCATGCCCTACTACAATACCTCTGGGATTGTTACTATTATAATCCCCATTTTGTAGCTGAGAAAATGGAGACTTACATTAACTAACCTGGGAGAGGTCAATAGCCAGGCTGCAGGGAGACTCAGATTTGCCCCCAGATGGTCTGGTTTGCTTAATGATCATGGTACTTGCCTTGACTCTACTCTGATGGCCCCAGCCTTTCTGCATTTCCTCCAGCCCCGCTCAGGAGGGAAGGAGAAGGCCCTTAAAGGGAGGAGGGAAGTTAAGGGCTTCCGAGGCAGGAGGCTTCTGAGGCAAGAAGGCATTAATACAAGATGAGGTTCTCAGGTCCCCAGCAGAGCTCTCTGCTGTCACCCATGTCACAGAAGCAGGGCAAGTCAGACTGGCGAGATGGGCTCCACATTGGTACAAACACAGGCTTGGGCATGGATCAGGATGATTTGGTTCAAGGGCTGGCCCAGTATTTGTTGGTCACGTGGCCCTGGACAAGCTACTTCACCTGTGCAATCCTCTGTGTTCTCATCTGTAAAGTGGCGACAGCAGCGGTATCCATCTCACTGGGTTTTATGGGGATTAAATAAATTAGTAAACGTAAACCTGCTAGTGAGAGTGGTGCCAGGCATGGCAAGCCCCACTAGCAGAGAGCTAGGATTGTGCTTGCGAACTTCCTGGAGTGATGTTGGGCAACTTCTCTTTCTCCCTGAGCCCCGCTGATCTCAGGTATGAAACAGAATTTCTAAAACTAACTCCACAGATTTGTTGTGAGGATTAAATGAATACTGTGTTTTGTATTAGTATCTGTTTATAAAGTTAACTTGTTCTCAAAAGTATTTAAGGTGGCTAACAATACAAGATTAGTTTTAATTTGAAAAGAAATAATTTGAGACTAAGAGAAAGGGGTGGTAAGGAAAAAGAACACCTACTATGTACCCATAAAAACTGAAAATAAAAAGAATTAAAATTAAACAGATCTTTAAAAAAAAAAACAGAAACAAGATCCTTTTTAAAAAGCCCTGGCTGCCCTGGCATGTATTAGGCACTCTATAAATATTTGTTATTATTTTCCCGGCTGTAATACCTGGTCCCAGTGGTTCTGGCTACTTGAGATATAGTTAATTTCAGGCTGATTTAGCATTAGGGTGACAGGGAGGATGGAGGGTATTGAAATGTACTCTTCCTGGCAAAAGGAAAGTGGAGATGAGCTTTGAGGATTTGAGTCCCATCTCTAGCTTCAGAGAAGTTCAGACTTTATTTACATTACACCTTGGGCTTCTGGGTACAATTGCAGTTGATGGAAAGGTTCTACTCAAAGAACAAAAGAAAAGAAAGACAAAATAGGAAAATAGAAGAGAGGAAATATGCTGATTACTCTAATTCCCTGTTTACAGAGACTATACTGAGACCCAGTAAAAAAGGGAGCTAAACACAATTGGCTGTTTATATTTTTTTGAGGTTCTTCATAGGGAGAAATCCGCTAGTCACAAAATTAATCATTCATCAAATCATCTTCATTCAGCAACACTTACTGAGCACTTACTATGTGCGTGCCATTGTCCTAGGAACCAAGCTATGAATTAGACACATTTCTGCACTCAAGAAGCTCACAGTCTAGAAGTGGGGTCAGAGTGAAAGGTGCTACCCCAGGGTTGCAGTCCATTGATGGGGAAGTCAGCCTAACTTGAGGGGTCCAGAACAGCCTTACAGAAGAAAGCCTCACAAAAAAGAGGATACTGAGTTGTATCTCGAAAGAAAAGCTGGGTTTTGTCAGGGAGCCAGTATAGAGAGACAGAGGTTCACCCCATTGCCTAATCTCAGCACTCCCTGCAGTTTCTGCCCTTACTTGTTAGTCCTTGTTTAGCTATCTTTTCTGCCAGTCTGGAACTGATGTGTGGGCAGGGGCCTTGTCCATTTGCCCATCCTGTATCCAATGCCTCTAGCACAGGAGAAGGAAAGAAGAAAGGAAGGGAGGAGAAAGGGAATTCCAGGCAGAAGGAAGAGCATATGCAAACATTCAGAGGTGGGAAGTAATATGGTTCTAAGAAATTTGGGTTGTTCTAGATGGTTCTGACCACAGCAGATGATTTGAGTTAGATCAGACATTGAGTGTCTTATTTCATTTTGTAGATGATAAATTGTGTGTCCTGATTCTGGATTCAGAAAATATAACACTTTTTGGTGGTTGGTACTATTATGGTAACATTAATGCCCATGGAATCTGGAATCTCAGATTTGGAATGATGAGCTTCAGGGCCCTTCAGGTATATCCACTCATGCAACAGACCATGAATAGTGTACCATGAACAGAAGATGTGGTTCCTGTTCTCTAGCAATCTGGCCATCCTAGTGTTGCTGTCAGCTGCCTTAAGTGTGCTGCAGGATGTCTTACAGGGCACAACTTCTGGCTCTTACTAGATAATAATTGTCCATAAGTATTGAGTGTCCAGTTTGTGTAATGAGCTTTACATACTGTTGTTTCATAGACTCTAAAATGTGACATATCTTAATTTCAGAGATGCTGAAATCAATAATTTAAGTTCTATGAGATATGGTACAGTTATCTTTAATTTTTTTAACAAACAGGTAGTAACTACATCTACATATTGAAAACTAAGGCTAAGTGAGGTGCTACACCTTGTCCTCAATATCACAGTTCATAATTGCCCGAGTTGTGTGCTCCAAAGGCCATTTATCACCCACCTGATGGCCCGCATTGACACTTTGAGTACTCAGGGTATCCCTCTTTTTCTTTTCTTTCTTTCTTTTTATTTTTTAAGAGGTGTGGGGTCACTGTGTTGCCCAGGCTGGTCTCAAACTCCTGGAGTCAAGCTATCCCACTGTCTCGGTCTCTCAAAGTGCTGGGATTACAGGTATGAGCCACCACGCCAGCCAGGATATCCTTATCATTAATTTTAAAAATCTTTGTAAAATTTCAGTCATTTTTGCCACACAGGCAAACCTCTGTCCCCTCGTCTTGCTGCCGTTCAGCCTGGAAATATTTCAGCTTTGCTTCCTCTTCCTAGTATTTGTTGGGTGAGCAGACTAGTTTGCCCCCGTAATTTCATACATTTCCAAATTAACCAAGTGCTTCCATGGAGCTGGTCTCCTGGAGTCTCCTGGAGTCAGTCACTTGCATGGAGTGTGCCTATGTTCCTCGTAGACCTGGGTACCTCCTCAAGAAGTGTTGCGTGTTTGGTGCCTCCTTCTTGTTCCCCTTCTTCCTTTTCTTTTCTTTTTTTTTTTTCTGTTGTTGCATTAATACAAGATGAGGTTCTCAGGCCCCCAGCAGAGCTCTCTTCTGTCACCCATGTCACAGAACCAGGGCAAGTCAGACTGGCCAGTAGGAGAAACATTGGTTTGAAATCTACTGGAGACCTGTGTTCTGTTTGTGCTTGGGTTTGGAAGGAAGATGTGTGTATACAGATCAGATAGAAACTAGCAAGATAACAAATTCGAAAACTGTGTAGGTGGGGCGCGGTGGCTCACACTTGTAATCCCAACACTTTGGGAGGCTAAGGAGGGCAGATCACGAGGTCGAGAGATTGAGACCATCCTGGCCAACATGGTAAAATCCTGTCTCTACTAAAAATACAAAAATTAGCTGGGCGTGGCAGTGTGTGCCTGTAGTCCTAGCTACTCAGGAGACTGAGACAGGAGAATCACTTGAACCTGGGAGGCAGAGGTTGCAGTGAACCGAGATGGCACCAGTGCACTCCAGTCTGGCAACAGAGTGAGACTCTGTCTCAAAAATAAATAAATAAATAAATGTGTAGAGGTTCTAGCTCATTCAGAGATATAGTAGAGTCATGCCTCACTTATGACAAGGATATGTTCTGAGAAATGCCTCGTTAGGAGATTTCATTGTTGTGAGATCATAGAGTGTACTTACACAAACCTAGATGGGATAGCCTACTTTACACCTAGGCTATGTGGTATGCCCTATTGCTCCCAGGCTACAAACCTGTGCAGCATGTTACTGTACTAAATACTGTAGCTCATTGTAACACAATGGTAAGTATTTGTGTATCAAAACATAGGAAAAGTACAGTAAAAATACAGTGTTATAATCTTATGGGACCATCGTCATATATGTGATACGTTGTTGACTGAAACATCATTGTATGGTGCGTGTCTACAGTTAATTCTCACAGAAACTCTTGGAGGTAGCTGCAAGAGCTGCTAGGGACCTCGATTAGAGTTATTACATATGGACCCTCATGAATCAGAGGAAGAACGAGGCCTGGAGTCATGAAGGGGCTTAACTGAAGTCACAAGGCTCACGGCAGGACCAGTATCAAAATAGACCCCAATGTGCGGCAGGTAAGTGGCTGGCTTGAAGGAGTGGCTAACTGGGTGCATTATAAATTCCTGACTCCTTCCCCCTGCAGCCCTGCAAATCTTGCTGCTGGGACCACTTAGTTTCCACCATGGACATTCCCCTGCCCATATCCCTTGGGCTTTTGCTGGAATATTGGAATCAAGTTCTCCCTATTGTTAGCTCCCCTCTGACTTTGTGCCTTGGACTTGCAAGCTGGTCTTTTGCCTGATGAAGATGATCTTCTTAAATCTCTATTATGGAAACCAGGACTCTGTCAGAGCCCCAGTACCTACCTTTTCCTCCAGCCAGTTTCCCAGAAGCTCGAATTTGGTCCCTGCTGCCTTCCTTCCTGGCTCTTTCCTATCACCTGCCATGAGACCTGGTAACATGATGTTTTCCTTGCCCCTGGGAATACCCCTGGCAGCGTTGCTAAACTACCTTGATGGATATTTACTACTCTCAGCCTGAACTCCCTATTGACACTACACCTGGGGCAACTGGGGATCACTAGCTCTGCTGGCTCTCAGCATCCTGGGTCCTTTTCTCCCCTGTCCCTCCCGGTCATACCTGATACTGACACATAAGATGGCTTTTCAAGCTTGCTATCTGTTTGACTTTTGCTTTTTGAAAACTGTCTTCCCTCTTCCAGTCAATCAGTGCTTATTGGATTATTGACTCCCAAAGGAAGTGGTTCTCAAACTTAAGAGTACTTTGGAAACATCTGGAGAGCTTGGTAAACAGCTCTGCACCCAGAAACTCTGGTTCAGTGGATCTGGAGACAGGGCCTTGGAATATACATTTTTAATGAGGCAGATGCTAAGTGCACCAAGCTTGGAGAGATAGAAGGCAGGCACTATGGGAGTTAATAACAGGAATCTCACACATGGGCATTTTATGTCAACTTGCAAGATAATATTAGTTCATCTACCCCAACCTTGTGTTAAAACAAAACAAAACAATGAAACAACACAAAATGCCTCCATGAACTAGCATAGAAAATAAGGACTCGAGTCAGAGAATTCAGACCTCCAATTACTAACTAAAAGACCTTGGAGGAGTCACTCAACCTTTCAAACATTGTGTTTACTCATCTATTCAGTGGATATCTTAATTCCTTAGAGTCTTGTTGTGAATATTGAATGAAATATTGTAAAATGCCCATTTTACTATCTAATACATGTTTGGAGAATTAAGGAAGAAATAAAGCTAATATGTTTGGACCTCTCTCTGTTTGCCAAGAAGTAGGCTAAGGGCCTTGTATGAACTCAATTAACTAATCCTCATAGCAGCCTGTGAGGCAGGGGTACCAGTTCCTCCACTTGGAGGCTTGCTGACATTATGTGACTTGCCCAAGGTCCCTAAACTAGGGGCAGTGCTGAAATTCAGACTCCAGCTGCTCTGACTTTAGAAATGGAACTCTGAGCTGCCATGTTTTCGTGCCACTCCAAAACAGAACTGATATAGTCCTTAAAACAACTCCTTTGGCATTTGATCTCCATCTCTGGTATCACACTATACAAGGGTCGTGCGCCTGGGAATGACAAAAACGGCAGTCCTGGTTCCTCCACCAGGACTGTTGTGTGATTGGGGGCAAGCCTCTTCCCCTCTCTGCACTGAGGAGACATGATTCTACAGCTAGACATGAGACGGCACAGAAGGCTGTTGGAAACATCCACTGTGATATCCTAAATGAAGCAGCTGCAGAGTTAGGAGCAGAGGTGGGATTTGGCATCTCCTCATTCCCAGCCCCTGGTTAGGGGGTCTCTGGGGCAGGTTCACCCAGTCTGTCCTCTCCTTCAGCTCTATGTTCCAGGGCATGCTTCCCAGGAGAGGGGCATGGGTAGGAACCCCTGTGCCCTGTGGTGGCAGGAAGTAACATCTGCTTCCGGGGAGATGGGACTGCCCAGGAGGTTATCCCCTCCTGGGGGATAGATAGGTGATGGCTGTCTCCTTTTTCATTCCCAGTGCCTACTGTTATGGGGGAAAATTAGAACACAAATACACCAAAACAGTAACATGGGCTGGCCATGCAGATCACTTACTTAGCTGCTATGGGGAGAGAAGGTTTGCTCTTCCTGCTGGCATAGAACATCAAAAACAACCAGAGGGCCAGGAAATCAACTAGGTTAGAATAAGAGGAAACCTCAAACCAGAACCCTTCCTGGCAGTGCAGGGCAGAGGTTATTAAGAGTGTGGACTCAGAAGTCAGACTCTCTTGGGTTCCGGCCCTCGCTCTGCTACCCACTAACAGTGTGACCTTGAGCAGGTCATTTGTTGACTTAGTGTCCGTTTCCTAATTTGTAAACTGTGGATAATAATGATACCTGCCTTGTGAGTCTCTATGAGGAGCAAACACAAGTAAAGACAAAGGTGTGCCACATGGTAAATATGTGGTAAACACATGTTCTTGTTCAAGCCTGAGCTAACCACTTTGAGGGACTTGGTCTCCTCCTCCTTCATCTAATCCAGTTCTTCAAACTTTACTGAGCAGTTGCCAGCTGCTGGGTAGAGTTTTGAGCATCAGGTATACAGGCATACATAAGACATAATACTTGGCTCAACATATTTAGCCTCAAATTTCTAAAATCCTTTTTGACCTTACCACCCACATACAAATAACAATAATGATGACGATAATGCACACCACATGCCATTTACTAGACAATAATTACATGGAGGCTCAGTGCTGGACACTATATATCCATTATTGCTGACATTCATAACAAGCCTTTGGGATATGTACTAATATTCCCATTGATGAAGGAAACTGAAGCTGGAGGAGTGAAGGTGATTAAGTTACCTGCCAAAGGTTCTGCAGCTGATGGACTGGAATCCCAGCTCCTTCAGATTCTAACAAGGCCTTCTCCTCCCCAAGCTGCCTCCTTCCAGTCTCAAAGCCTCACAGGCAGGCTGGCATTTCTGAATTTAATTCCCACAGCCACTCTGAGAGGCAGAGACTTTTATCATCAGATTCGTTTTCCCAACAACAGAAGTAAGAGCAGGTTAAGCAGTTTGCCAACTGTAGCTCAGCTAGTGAGCTGTAATGACTCTGTGTGTCTTAAGATCAAATAGAAGGCAACTCTGAGGCTGCCGCTTGGTGAGAAGCCTTCTGCAGAGGCAAAAAATATGTGCAAACAAAACCAACAGCTTTCTTTATGTTCCCCAAAGTTGCTAAAAATGCCTGCGGGTTTGCACACAAGCAGACGTGCTCACAATGCTGGGTGGCTTCTGTCTTCTTGGCTCCAGCACGAAGAGACCTGGCAGGTATTTCTCACATCTTTGTTAAACACACACATCAGACAAGGAAAGGAGTTCCAAGGTAGTCCCAGGGTGTGGATTTCTGCCAAGTTTCCTTTTATTTGTTGTTAACTTAGAGAGAGAGAAAGAGAGACAGAAGACACCTCATGGATAAGCCCACAATCCCTGAGGTAACCGCAGTGAAAAATGTCTTCCCTCTACTTGGAATCAGTCATCCCTCATCCTGATTGGGGGGTCTTTTACCTGTAAGCTCTGTGACCTTGTCCAGGTTGCTTAGCCTCCCAGAGCTAACCTCTGTCTGCCCATCTGTAAAATAGACATGGTGATCCCTCCTGTAGGAATGTAAGCTCCACAAAGGCAGGCATAGTTGTCTGTTCTGTTTGCACCTGCATTCCAGTGCCTATAACAGTGCCTGACACAGCGTCAGTGAATGAGTTAATGAACGAATGAATAAATGAGTTGCTATTTTTGAAGAGTTGTTGTGAAATAAGATCATGAATGGGAAATTGCTTTGCAAACTGCAAATTGCTATACAAATATGAGGATTTATTATTATCACAGAACATGGTCTGAGTTCTATTAAATAAATTTATCCAGTCAATCAGTCAGTGAGTGCTTCCTGAGCTTCCTCTTGGGTCTGGCACTGGGATACAGAGAAAGAAGGGGCCTGGTTCCTTCCTTCAAGGGCTCACAGTCCAGTAGGAGGATATACAAGTGAATCAGGCACTGAAACACAATATAGGTAAGTACAGGGTGCTAAGGGGGCAGACAGAAGGGACTGAGTTCCCACACTAGAAAGGAGTGGGTCAGGGAACTTTCTGGAAGAGGCGTTCTGGGCCCCACTCTGCCCAAGGGCAGAAGCTGAGGGGAGACTTTGGAGACTTCCTCCCAGGTTGACTCACCAGGCACATGGCAGGGTGAGGCTAGAGATGGAAAGGTGACTGAGAGTCAGAGAGGGCCTGGAGGGCCGAGGTACTTATCAGGAAGGGCCTCGTAGTGGAGGAGAAGGCATTTAGGGGGACATGCTGGAAGAGCATGGCTGGGCTTGTGGGCAGGGCAGTTCCCCTGGGGGATGATTGGAGGCCATACCCTGTAAAGCCAAAGTCCCCACGTGTGGCTTGCCTTAGAAGGCACTGAGGAGGACCATGGCTTCTGGAAGAAGATGACATATTCAGCCCAGGGCAGCCTCAGCTGCGACAGAACTCTTCAGTGTGTTCTTTTCTCTTTTCATTTGTTCATTCATCTGACAAATACCATGAGAGGCTGTGGAAGCCTGTCCACTGGGCACCAACGGGAAAGCACCCATGAGAAGAGGCAACTTCTTCCCTCACAACCTATAGAGGAAGACAAAGCCAACAGAAAATTCATCCCCTTACCAAACGTTGCCTGAGTGCTGACTATGTGCAGCTGGTGGGGCCTTAAATAAACCTGTCCAACCCCCTTGCCCCAGTACACACACACTGTCATGGCACTCAGATTCCAGAGAGGGCTGGCAGGCAGGTAAGTGAGGGAAACACTCAGGGTGTCAGGATGGGGGAAGAGCCAGGAGAAAAAGAAAGTGGAAGAGGGGAGAGAGGGTTGGAGGGTGAGGGCGTGCACACTGAAGTGGGTGGGAAGATGCCCAGAGTGAAAACAGGAGTGGAGCTGGGGAACCTGTGCATGGCCTCCTCTGATGGGGGAGCAGCGGCCTCCTTTCTGAAGCAGCAAGGAGGCAGCGTGGGGGTGCAGAAGTGGAGGCAGTATGAAAACAGGAATCTGTGTGGTGCAGAGAAAGGGAAAGTAGATCATCCAGGACCTTATGGGTCATTGTGGTGACTCTAGCTTATATTATGGTTGTGATGGGAGCCTTTGGAGGGTTCAAACACAGGAGTGACTTGGTGTGACTCCTGCTTTAACAGGATTTTTCTGGGGACTGTGTCAATAACAGAGTGCAGAGGAACAAGGATGGAAGCAGGGCGACCTGTTGTGAAGATGTAGGGACAACCCAGATGAGGGTTATGGTGCTCAGACCAGGTGGCAGAGATGGTAAGAAGTGGGCAGACCCTGAACATTTTTTGAAGGAAGAACAGACTATATTTTCTGACATTGAAAAGGCGGTGTAAAAAAGAGAGAAGAGTTAAGAATACCTCTAAAGGTTCTGTACCTGAGCAAATGGAAAGTTTGACAGGCCATTAACTGAGATGGGAGACAGCAAGAGAGGAAATTTGGAGGTGTTGGGGGAGATAGAAGGCAGGAAATTGATTTAAAAAAATTACTTCTTAAATTTTCTGTGGTTGAAGGAAACCTATTTTAAATATAAGGATATAGATAGATTATAGGGACATTCTATAATGATAAAAGGGTCAATTTACCAAGAAGATAAACACTCAAATATACTATGCAACTAACAAAGATCCAAAATAAATGAACCAAAAACTGAAAGAACTAAAAGGAGATATGGAAAAATTCAGTTATAATTAGGAAACTTCAAAATCTTCTTTCACAATAATTGATAAACACATAGATGGAAAATCAGCAAAGATATATAAAACCTGAATAACACTGTCAACTGATTTAATCTAATGGACATTTGTAGAACACGCCACCCATGAACAACAGAATACACATTCTTTTCAAGTGCCCACAGAGCATATACCCAGATAGATCATATTCTGGGTCATAAAATAAACTTACAATTTTTAATAAATTAAAGTCCCACAAAGCATGTTCTCTGGTTATACCAAAATTAAACAAGAAATCGATAATAGGAACTTCTTAAATATTTAGAAATTGTTAACATACTTTTAAATTTTTTTATAATTTTTATTTTTTTAAAATAATTTCAACTTTTATTTTAGATTCAGGGAGTACCTGTGCAGGTTTGTTTCCTGGGTATGTTGCATGACGCTGAGGTTTGGGGCATGATTGATCCTGTCACCTAGGTACTGAGCATAGTACCCAGTAGTTAGTTTTTTAACTCTTCCTCTCCTCCTTCCTCCCTCATCTAGCAGTCCCCAGTGTCTATTGTTTTCACCTTTGTGTCCATGAGTACCCCATGTTTAACTCCCACTTATAAGTGAGAAAATGTGGTGTATTAGTCCATTTTCACGCTGCTATAAAGATACTACCTGAGACTGGGTAATTTATGAACAAAGGAGGTTTAATTGACTCCCAGTTCAGCATGGCTGGGAAGGACTAAGGAAACTTACAATCATGGTGGAAGGGAAAACAGGCATGTATTACATGGCAGCAGGAGAGAGAAGTTCAAGAGACAGCAGGAAAAACTGCCTTATAAAACCATCAGATGTTGTGAGAACTCACTCACTATTATGAGAACAACATGGGGGAAACTACCCCTATGATCCAATCACGCCCCACCAAGTCTCTCCCTCAACAAGTGGGGATTACGGAGGTTATAATTCAAGATGGGATTTAGGAGGGGGAAAGAGCCAAACCACATCAAGTGGTGTTTGGTTTTCTTTTTCTGTGTTGATTCACTTAAGATAATGACCTCCGGCTGCATCCTTGTTTCTGCAAAGGACATAATTTTATACTTTTCATGGCCATGTAGTATTCCATGGCATACGTGTACCACATTTTCTTTATCCAATCCACCATTGATGGGCACCTAGGTTGATTCCATGTCTTTGCTATTGTAAATAGTTCTTTAATAAGCATACAAGTGCAGGCATCTTTTTGGTAGAATGATTTATTTATTTTTGTATATACACCCAGTAATGGGATTGCTGGGTCAAATTGTAGTTCTGTTTTAAGTTCTTTGAGAAATCTCCAAACTGCTTTATACAGTGGCTGCACTAATTTACATTCCCACTAACAGTGTATAAACATTCCCTTTTCTCTGTCGCCTCACCAGCATCTGTTGTCTTTTGACTTCTTAATAATTAGCCATTCTGACTGGTGTGAGATGGTATTTCATTGTGGTTTTGATGTGCATTTCTCTGATGATTAGTGATTTTGAGAACTTTTTCATGTTTGTTGCCTGCTTATATGTCTTCTTTTGAGAAATGTCTGTTCATGTCTCTTGTCCATTTTTTAATCAAGTTATTTGTCTTTGCTTGTTTAGTTGTTTAAGTTCCTTATAGATTCTGGATATTAGACCTTTGTCGGATGTATGGTCTATGAATAATTTCTCCCAGGAAACATACCCAGGAAACAAACCTGTAGGTTGTCTGTTTACTCTGTTGGTAGTTTCTTTTTCTGTGTAGAAGCTCTTTATTTAATTAGGTCCCACTTGTCAAATTTTGTTTTTGTAGCAATCGATTTTGAAGACTTATAAAGTCTTTCCCAAGGCCGATATCCAGAATGATGTTTCCTAGGTTTTCTTCTAGGATTTGTATAGTTTGAGGTCTTACATTTAATCTTTAATCCATTTTGAGTTAATTTTTGTATATGATGAAAGGTAGGCACCCAATTTCATTCTTCCGCATATGACTAGTCAGCTATCCCAGCAGCATTTACTGAATAGGGAGTCTTTCCCTCAAGGCTTACTTCTGTCAACTTCATTGAAGATCGGATTATTATAGGTGTGCAGTTTTATTTCTGGGTTCTCTATTCTGTTTCATTGATTTATGTGTCTATTTTTGTATCAGTATCATGCTGTTTTGGCTACTGTAGCCTTAAAGTATAGTTTGAAGTTGGATTATGTGATGCCTCTGGCTTTGTTCTTTTGCTTAAGATTGCTTTGGCTATTCAGGCTCTTTTTTGTTTCCATATGAATTTTAAA